>NC_000004.12:83618350-83769865 GCF_000001405.40 Homo sapiens
TCTGGGCTATGGAAATCCACTGAAGCAGGTGGAAAATAAAAACAAAATCAAGAAACATGTTTGGACGAAAACATCATAGGGGATTTAGAGTGCCTTTGAACATTTTTCATGTAAGTTTGGGATAGTAAATGCCTAAGCACTCTTCTGAAAGAGTTTACAGAAAAGTATACTTCCTTTACAACTAAAGTATAGTGTCAATGGAATCAAGCTCTGTGACTAGGAGCCGGGAGTGGAGCTGACATCTATGGAATGCACACGTGACAGTGCTCATGTGCTGAGTCACCTGTGGGGTTGACCTTGGTTCAAAGCCTGTTTTTCATTGCAATCATTCTTTGATACAGGCAGCCCTGATGTCTGTTGCTAAATTAAGCACAAGTGAACCTGTCAAACGTCCTAACTGGAAGGAATTTTCAGTGCTGGTTATTTGTAAGGCAGGTTCTGAAACTGTTCCTGCAGAACCGAATTTTTTTTAGGATAGGCAGAGAAATGACTTTGGAAATCCTGTTCTATCCAGTCAGTTCTCCAGATTTTTGGTTAACAATGGAATGATGAATGAAATACCATAGCTTCACCTAGTAAATTCCTTGGTCCAAAAGCTCTCTTTGGAAACTGCTTCTGTTTAACAGTTATCCTCTTTAGGCATTTACACATATTTTATAAAATACATACTATAATTCAGGCTCTGTTAGTCTTGAGGTTCTTTGCTGCCCAAGGCAGGAACTTGCCATTCAGGAGCTTAGAAAAATCTGGAAGTAGAGACAAACACCACTAACCACAAGAGGAAGTGGCGAGGCCCTGTTTTCCAGCCCAGGAACAAAGTGCTGTGGGAGTGTAGAGAGGTGATAAATGTTGGGTGGAAGGGTGTGTAGAAGGGAGGACATGAGTGTGCCTTGAGGAATGACTAAGTGCTCTCCAGTGAAGTCAGGAAACGTGCAGGTGATTCCTTGTTCTGTGCATATACTGTCCTTCCCAATTCCCATACCCTTGAGAAAACAAAACAAAACCAAACCAAATAGGAGAGGGTTGTTTATAATCGCAGACCTTTTTGACTCCGAAATGCCCCATGTTCTTATTTTGGAGCCATTTACCACTTCCCCAGCATCACTTCCCTAGCCCAAGCCATCATCATTTCTTACAGGGCTATAGTAACTCTTCTAATGGATCTCCCTGCCTCTTCTCTTGTTCCCCAAATAGTCTATTTGGTAAATAGAAGCTAGTGTGATAATTTCAACTCATAAATTGACTCATTTTGCTCCCACTATCAGAACTCTTCAGTGGCTTCCCATTACACAGAGGATAAAGATTAAATTCCTTACCCCAGTATTCGAAGCCTTGAAACAATCTGACCACTGATCAGTCTTCTAGCCTGATTTCTATCATGCTTTCCCTGGCTCAAACTCCTGCAGTACTCTGGCCCTTTTGTTCTTTTTTTGAAACCACTATGAATTTTTGTGCTCAGGGCCTTGGCACTTGCTACTTCAGCTTGGAATGATCTCCTAGATATTTGCAAAGCTCCTTTTTCTTCATTTGTCTGCCCAAATATCCCCTCCTCACAGGAGTTCCCTGGCCATCCCACCTAATAGAGTAGCTCCTGCCACTCCCTATCTCCCATCCTGCTTTTTTCCCATTAGTACTTATTTTTGAACATTATTTGTTAGTTTTACACACCCCCACCACACTATAAGCTTGATCAATATTTGCCAAAGAACAGGCAAATTTGTGATCATTCCTCAATTCTTCCTTGACTTACATGCCCTTAACAATTTTGAGAATTACAGGCCAGGCATTTTTTTAGTAGCTCCTTTAATTTGATGTTTCTGATGTTTTCTCATGGTTAGTTTCAGGTTATGCATCTTTGACAGGAAAAACAAGAAGTGATTGATGCTCAGTGCCCTTTTCATTGTGTCCTATTAGGAGGTGCATACTTTTGATTTGCCCCATGACTGAAGCACAGTACTCTGGGTGCTTGATTAAGGTGGTGATATGGTTTGGAGCTGTGTCCCCTACCCCAAATCTCATATTCAGTTGTAATCCTCAGTGTTGGAGGTGGGGCCTGGTGGGAGGTGATTGGATTGGTAGTAAGTCTCATGAGATCTTATGGTTTTAAAAAGGGTTTTCCCTTTCACTTCATCTTCTTGCTGTGTCCTCATATGGTTGTCCCCCAGTCTGTGTGTTTTCTGTGTCCTAATCTCCTTTTTTTTACAAGAACACCAGTCATATTGGATTAGGACCCATGCATATGACCTCATTCTACCTTAATCACCATCTTAAAGGCCCTATCTCCAAACAGTGACAGTTTGAGGTACTGGGAGTTAGGACCTCAACATACAAATTTTTTGGGTACACAATTTAGCACATAATAGGTGGTGTCTGCCTGGCTTTTCCGTGGTAAACTTACTCTTTTCTCCTTCATTAGTGAATGAGTCATTTGGAGGGAGATACTTTGAAACTACACAAGTATCTGATATGGTTTTGCTGTGTCCCCACCCAAATCTCATCTTGAATTCTAGCTCCCATAATTTCCATGTGTGGTGGGAGGGACCCGGTGGGAGATAATCTAATCATGGGAGTGGTTTTCCCCCATACTGTCCATTTCCAATCCAATATTACAGGTTCATTTTAATTTTCTCCCTCTTTATATTTGTAAGTCCCCTCTCAAACAGTGAGGAGCCTTGTTCCCTATCTTTGATATATTTACTTATTTGTAACCAGTCTCAATGGCTTTGCACTCTCCCCATATAGATGCCTTCCTCACCTCACTTAGTGTCTACTTTATGGAGGACCACTCCCTTCCATGAATGCCTTTCTTACCCTGCACAGGAGAGGCCACTCCTTCCTGTGGATCCTCCCATTACCACTCTAGGCTTGACTCCCCACACCAGGCTGTCCCGTCCCAATGAAGATATCCTCCTCACTTAATGCAGGCTCTGTCACCTCACCTGTTTGGGTTCCAATGCCCTGCATTGGGCAGCCTTCCTCTGAGGATGGTCTCACCATGCACAGGCTCCACCATGCACAGACCCTGCTCTGGGCCACCAGTGCTTCCCATCACCAGTGTGGAGGCCCACCTTGCTCTGCCCACCTATGGCTTTAGGACTGAAGTATTCAAGGAAGGGGAAAAAGAGATCATGCCACTGGCTGTTGCCCAGGCTGGAGTGGGCACTGGCACTATCTTGGCTCACTTGCAGCCTTAACTTCTTGGGCTCAGGTAATCCTCCTGCCTCAGCCTCCAGAGTAATTGGGACCACAGGCATGTGCTGCTATGCCTGGCTAATTTTTGTATTTTTGGTAGAGATGGGGTCTCACTCTGTTGCCCAGGCTGGTCTTGAACTCCTGGGCTCAAGTGATCTGTCTGCCTCAGCCTCCCAAAGTGCTGAGATTGCAGGTGGGAGCCACCATGCCTGCCTCAGCCTCCCAAAGTGCTGAGATTGCAGGTAGGAGGCACCATGCATGGCTTTTATTTTTGTTTTTGATTTGTGGTTAGAGTATATCTTTTATTCAACCTTTACTTTCAATTGTACATGTTTCTTTAAATTACACATAGATAAGCATGCATATTTAAGACATAGTCTCTTTTAATAACCAGTTCACTTTCCTGAATGATATAGTTTGGCTATGTCCCTACCCAAATCTCATCTTGAACTGTAGTGCCTATAATGCCCATGTGTTGTTGGAGAGACCCAGTGGGAGGTAATTGAATCATGGGGGCATTTACCTCCATGCTGTTCTTTTGCTAATGAGTGAGTTCTCATGAGATCTGATAATTTTATAAGGGGTTTTCCCATCCGCCTTTACTCTGCACTTCTCCTTGCTGCTGCCATGTGAAGAAGAACATGTTTGCTTCCCCTTTGCCATGATTGTAAGTTTCCTGAAATCTCCCAAGCCCTGTAATTGACTGTAAGTCAATTAAATATTTTTCCTTTGTAAATTACCCAGTCTTGGGTATTTCTTCATAGAAGCATGAGAATGGAATTAATACAGTAACTTGGTACCAGGAGTGGGGTGCTGCTATAAAGATACCTGAAAATGTAAAAGCAACTCTGGAACTGGGTAACAGGCAGAGGCTGGAACATTTTGGAGGGCTCAGAAGACAGGAAGATGTGGGAAAGTTTGGAACTTCCTAGAAACTTGTTGAATGGCTTTAACCAAAATGCTGATAGTGATATGGACAATAAAGTCTGGGCTGAGGTCATCTCAGACGGAGATGAGGAAAGTTTTGGGAGCTGGAGCACAGGTGACTCTGGTTATACTTTAGCAAAGAGACTGGCAGACTGGCATGTTTTGCCCCTGCCTTAGAGTTCTGTGGAACTTTGAACTTAAGAGAGATGATTTAGTGTATCTGGTGGAAGAAATTTCTGAGCAGCAAAGTGTTCAAGAACATAAAAGTTTGGAAAATTTGCAGCCTGACAATACAATAGAAGGAAAAAAACCATTTTCTGGGGATAAATTCAAGCCTACTGCAGAAATTTGCATAAGTAACAAGGAGCTGAATGTTTATCACCAAGACAATGGGGAAAATGTCTCCAGGGCATGTCAGAGTCCTTCCTGGCAGCCCCTCCCATCACAGGCCTAGAGATCTAGGAGGAGAAAATGATTTCATGTGGTGGGCCCAGGGCTCCTCTGTGGTGTGCAACCTAGGGACTTGGTGCCTTGTGTCCAGCCTCTCCAACTGTGGCTAAAAAGGATCAAGGTAGATCTCAGGCTGTGGCTTCAGAGGGTGCAAGCCCCAGTCCTTGGCAGCTTCCATGTGGTGTTGGGCCTGTGGGTATGCAGAAGTCAAGAGTTGAGATTTGGGAACCTCTGCCTCGATTTCAGAGGATGTATGGAAATGCCTGGATGTCCAGGCTGGAGTTTGCTGCAGGGGTGTTTGCTGCAGGGGTGGAGCCCTCTGCTAGGGCAGTGTGGAGGGGAAATGTGAGTTTGGAGCCCCCACACAAAGTCCCCATTGGGGCACTGCCTTGTGGAGCTGTGAGGAGAGGTCCACATCCTCCAGAAGTCAGAATGGTAGATCCACTGACAGCTTGCACCTGGAAAAGGCACAGGCACTCAAAAACAGCCTGTGAAAGCAGCCAGGATGGGGGCTGTACCCTACAAAGCCACAGAGGCAGAGCTGCCCAAGGCTGTGGGAACCCATCTCTTGCATCAGCATGACCTGGATGTGAGACATGGAGTCAACGGAGATTATTTTAAAGCTTTAAGATTTAATTACTGCCTTGTTGGATTTTGGACTTGCATGGGGTCTGTAGTCCCTTTGTTTTGGCCAATGTCTCCCATTTGGAATGGGTGTATTTACCCAATGCCTGTACCCCCATTGTATCTAGGAAGTAACTAACTTGCTTTTAATTTTACAGGCTCATAGGTGGAAGGGACTTGCCTTGTCTCAGATGAGACTTTGGACTAAGACTCTTGAGTTAATGCTGGAATGAGTTCAAACTTTCAGGGACTGTTGGAAAGGCATGATTGTGTTTTGAAATGTGAGGACATAAGATTTGGGAGGGCCAGGTATAGAATAATATGGTCTGGCTGTGTCCCCACCCAAATCTCATCCTGAACTGTAGTTCACACAATCCCCATGTGTCATGGGAAGGACACAGTGGGAGGTAATTGAATCATGGGGATGGTTACCCCTATGCTGTTCTCGTGTTTAGTGAGTTCTTATGAGATCTGATGGTTTTATTTTTTATTTTATTTTATTATCTTTTTTTGAGACAGAGTTTTGCTCTTGTTGCACAGGCTGGAGTGCAATGGTGTGATCTCATCTCACTGCAACCTCTGCTCCTGGGCTCAAGCGGTTCTCCTGCCTCAGCCTCCCAAGTAGCTGGGATTACAGGTGTGTGCCACCACACCTGGCTAATTTTGTATTTTTAGTAGAGACAGCGTTTCACCATTTTGGCCAGGGTGTTCTCCAACTCCTGACCCCAGCCTCCCAAAGTGCTGGGATTACAGGCATGAGCCACCAAGCCTGGCCGAGATCTGATGATTTTATTAGGGCTTCCCCCCTACTTTGCTCTGTACTTCTCCTTGTTGCCACCCTGTGGAGCTGCCACCATGCTTCCCCTTACACCATGATTATAAGTTTCCTGAAGCTTCCCCAGGCCTGCACAACTGTAAGTCAATTAAAGCTCTTTCCTTTATAAATTACCCAGTCTTGGGTATTTCTTCATAGCAGTGTGAGAGCAGAACTAATACACTGAGTGAATTTCATTTTGGCTTTAATAAACAAAGAATGTTAGTATGTTTTGGGCTATGCCGTCAAATTTCATTTTGAAAATGGAGGTCTGATATTACCATGAAACAAAGTTGTCCTACCTTATTTCAGTGATGTAAGGGGTGTTACCTTTTATCTTCCATGTATTCTTTTCTTTTGTTGATATGTTATATTACTGGGCAAGCATCTTCTCCTTCCATGGAGGTCGGCACATGCCCCCACACTGGCTGGTTAGAGAACTTCTTTTGACTCAAGGGTGGACACATTATCTAAGAGCGTCAAGCAGAGACCTTCTGAAAGAGCAATAAGGACGCAAAGAGATAGGTTCTTAGATTGCAAATAGTAAGAACTATGCAGATCCAGAGATCATGGGAGTCATCTTTGCTGCCACAAGGAAAGTACCTTCTGAGAATGAAGACAGCACAGAGGAAAGTGGAGAAAAAAGAGAGAGATCCATCCTGTTGATATAGCTTGATACCCTTCATTCATCAATGCTTGAGGCCAGAAAACCCTTTGACTTTCCAGATATAATAGTTAATCCAATCTTTTCCACATACTTCAGCTAGAGCAAACTGGGTTTGCAATTAGTTAATTCAATTTACAGCTATAGTGAGTTGCAAATGAAATAGTCCTAAAATGAAGAGTTTTATAAGCATATATGTATAGTACATATGTGTGCATATCTATACATACATATGTGTTATGTCTGCATGTGTGTACACACACACACACATACATTTTCTTTTTTTATCTAGAGAAGTTTTTCCTCAGTGAAATCTTACATAATGCTTTGATTGAATCAGTGATGAAGTTCCAAAGACTCAGAGCCCAATTCCCTTGGTCTCCTTCTGTTTCTTTTTTTTCTCTTTTCTTTCCTTTTTTTGAGATGGATCTTGGTCTGTCGCCCAGGCAAGAGTGCAGTGGCATGATCTCTGCTCACTGCAACCTCCCAGGTTTAAGCAATTCTCCTGCCTCAGCCTCCCGAGTAGCTGGGATTAGAGGCGCCCGCCACCATACCTGGCTAATTTTGTATTTTTAGTAAAGATGGGATTTCACCGTGTTGGCCAGGCTGGTCTCGAACTCCTGACCTCATCCTTCTGCTTCTATTTATAGTCTCTAATGCAAACCCTGAGGCTCTGCGAAGCAAACATTAAAACACAGCCTTAGAGCAAGAAATATGTTACTTTAAGAGATTCTTCTCCTCTCTATTGTAGGACCTAATTTTAATGATTTAAATATAAAATATTCACAACAGACTTTGTTGAATGCTTATTGAATCTAATGTCTATTAGGCTAAATTAAATATTAACTTAATTAAACTGGACACTAGCTGAGATAGGCAATTGTGCACAGAAGCCTTTGGAAGTTTCCCACCTGCTGCTACACTCATGTCTGAGGCAGAGAAGCCACTGTTGGGTGCTGCCCAGACAATAGAGGCCTCAGAAGTGCATGGGTTCTTCCAGGAGCTGTATAGCACACTTTCTTTGGTGAGTGCCAGGAAAGACAGCCAGGGAGAGTATTGCAAACTTACAGGAACTGGAGGAAGACTTTCCAGAAGTCCTCCTTCCCAATTTATGAGTGAGATAGAGAAAAACAGAGCATTTGAGGCTGTCAATATCTCTTATTGCTAATTTAAACCCGATTCTACTCCCTATAGCCCAAAAGAAATCCCCATATTCAATGCTAACACACACATTTGTTTAATGTTGCAGAGTGGTTAATTCTGGCATAGAACACACCACTCTCAAATCTGAACATAAAAGGGAAAATTAACTCTAACAGAATTATGAAGGGATTTATAGATACTGGTAGTTAGAGATTCCGCAATGCTGCAGTCCCTCTTTTAGGGGGAGGCGAGCAGGTGAAAATTCCAGCAGTGCATTTCTTCCGTGAACATACACCGCTGTTTGGAGGCGATACTGTTTCACAGAAACACTGCTCTTAGAATTCAGGAGCTTGCGTAAACCATGTCAGCCTTCAATAAAACAATCTAGGAAGTAACCCATTTTCTCATTGTCTCTGCGAAAGAGAATCAGTCCGTATTTAAAAAGCATTTTGGTTGTTTCTTTGACCTTGTTTTCTCTGGGTTGTCTTTCCTTCTATTTATAGTGTGGCTCTAGCGCATGTCTGGCTCGGGTTACCTATGCTCAGTTCATCTGGGTTTGCTATTTTTAAACACTGTGTGGAGGTAGTTTGGGATCAAAGTCATGTATCTGGGCAGCACAAGTCGCTGAATTAACAAAGGCATAATCATCACTGAGGTGACATCCAAATTAGACTTTTTTTTTTTTTTAAGTGTAGCATTTCCAAGTAGATCTGTGAATTCTTAACAGATTTACTTTGGAACAAGAAGCATTTTCTTTCCTAGTACTGATATTATTTCCTTCTAAAGTGGCCTTATCATGTAATTGGTTACATCATTAAAGGAAAATTCAGTTTTCCTAAAAACTGAAATTTTTAGGAAAGTTTTAAGTTTATGAAAACTTAGGTTTTCATAAAACCTAAGTCTTAGGCCAGAAGTTCAACTTCTACTAACAAAGTAAAACAATGTCCTCTTAGCAGCTTTTCTCTGTAATGGGAAATTGCAAAGCATTGCTACATGGTTACATGTTTAAATTTCTTTCTCTACACTTTCTGATAAATTCCAATTCTGAGGATCTTGTTCTGCTATTGTCACATTATATTTATGGATGAAATTAAGAGAGTGGATCTGCTGGCAGCAGTTCAAAATATTTCACAGATAAATCTGTTCTGTAGCCCATCTTTCTTAATGCAAGCTTGAGGGATATTCATTCATTCATTTAATCAGTGCTCACTGAAGCAGAGCCTTTCCCAACAACCTGCTATCTGGGCAGGAATGAATGTTGTTTTTCCACGTTGGGTGCCTTGCCTATCTGTATGGTGGCTTGTCTGGGGCAACCTCAGATTGTCTGCTGGTGTGGTCTTGGGGCAGGATCTGTTATCTGCAGACCTTTCTCTAGTCTTGGACTAGCTGTCCCTAGCCTCTTGAGGTATGGGGCCAGGTCAGGGGCATAACTGGTGAGTTAGGCTGGCTCCTGAGGCTGGCTACTGCTGTTCCTCAAGAGGAGTGGTGGGTAGGGTGGGATGCAGCCCCGGGCTGGTGCATGCACATGTCTCAGATTGGCAGATGGCTGGTAAAGGTGGATGACATTTCGAGAGCACTGACTTCAAATAAGGAAACTTTTTGTTAGTTTTTGCTTATCCCCCACGATTGGGCTTTTTATTATATTAAAGCTAGTAGATTCATGTAATTTTCTGGAAGAGAAAGGAACTTCATCTACTTGCTGCTTTAGCAGGTGGATGTGTTTAGGCCACAAAGCTGGGCATGCCGTGAAGTGCCAGGTATGCCTCTATTCCCCCTTCCAGTTGCAAAATTAGGTGTAATGGCCATTGTTTACTCTGCGTACCAGGAACTCTCATCTTGCAAGGTAGGGATCGTTATTCCCATTTTCAAATGAGGAGAATTGAGTTCCACAGAGCCTGAGCGTTTTGCCCAGCCAAGGTTTGCCTAAGTAGTGGGAGATGGAGCCACTTAAGTGATTTCTCTTATAAATATTTCACTGCTATGGCTCTCAAATTTGCTACCAGGCCTATCATTTTCCTTCCTTAATTCTAGCAGTCAGCCACAGAGTTCTCCTTGCTCCTCCTATTCTATTGACCTGGTACCTCCTTAGGTTTTCCTGTCTCATTTTCTCTCCACCAACTTGGCTTCTTTGTCCTCTCTCCTGCCATCTATATATAATTGGATTTTTTTCTTTAAAATAGCTCTCTAATTTCATTCTTCCCTGTCATCCCTATTCAGGTAACATTCAGATCTTTTCATCTCTTGCTAGATCATAACAGTCTTAGAACTAATATTCCTAAGCCTGAAGCCGCAGTTACATTCAGCTTCCTAACTCACCCCTTTCACCATGTTACTTTTCCTTATTAGATACCAAGTGAAATCTAATTCCTTAGCTTGCAATTCTAGGCTCTCTACAAATGTATTTCCAAATCATTGATATTCCTATTTATCCCATGTCCTCTAGGTAGATGTGTATACTTGATATTTCTAAAACATCTTATGAGGCCTGGTGCCGTGGCTCATGCCTGTGATCCTAGCACTTTGGGAGGCCGGAGCGGGTGGATCACATGAGGTCAGGAGTTTGAGACCAGCCTGGCCAACATGGTAAAACTCCGACTCTACCAGAAATACAAAAATTAGCTGGGCATGGTGGTGTGCACGTGTAGTTCCAGCTACTCAGGAGGTTGAGGCAGGAGAATGGTTTGAACCTGGGAGGCGGAGGTTGTAGTGAGCTGAGATTGTACCGTTGTACTGCAGCCTGGGTGACAGAGCAAGACTCTGTCTCAAAAATAAATAAATAAATAAATAAAAAACGTCTTATGGCTGAGACTATTTACTCTCTCCAAATTCATTCTCTTCCTCTGTCTTAGTAACAGAACCCTACATTTATTCAAGATATTAGCATACCCAACTAGAAACTGTATTTTTCAGGCTCTGTTGCAACCAGGTATAGGAATGGGACTTAGTTCTTGTCAAAAGGACTTGAATCCAAGTCTTAAGTAGGACTTTTGGGAAGTATCTATAAAAAATATTTTTTCTTTTTAGCTGTCTGGTTTGGAAATGTGATGGTTGGAGCTCTAGTAGCCATCTTGGGCCTTCAGAATAGAGACCACACTCTAGGTTAGAGATCTGGAAGATGTCTTGATCCTCAGTGATTTTGTGGATTTGTATTATCAGCTTTGGCTTCAAAATTATTTGAGCCATCATTTGAACCTCATCCCGAATGATACACATGCTTCATGGAGGAGGTAGCATTGAGATGGTCCTTGAAGGAAGAATAGGATTTAGATGGTCAGGAAGAGTAGGGAAACATCATAGGCAAGGGGATAAAATAAAAATAAAAAACTATTAAATTTACAGAGTAGTTTACAGCTTATAGAGTGAATTCACATCCACTATTTTATTTGTTCCTCATAATAACTGGGTATGTTATATGCAAATATTATCTTCATTTTACAGATTAGAACTGTGGAGTCCAAAGATGGACAAACGATTAAATGGAAAGGACATTGGATTTGTAGTCAGAAAGTCTGGGTTTGAGTTTTTTATTGTGATGGGCAAACTTTAAGGTGGCCCCCATGATTCCTCTCCTGGTGTTTATGTTTTTATATAATCCTCTTCTCTTGCTTGTAGGCAGACCTGTGAATTACTTCTAATCAGTAGACTATAGCAAAGGTGAAGAGATGCTGCCCTTAAAATTTCATTATATTATATATCACTCCAGAGCCTCTTGCTCCCTCACCCCCTCTACCATCTCCGTTACTGATTTTGAAGAAGAAAGCTGTCATGAATCTTATAACTGCAAGGAACTTAATGTTGCCAAGAACCATTTGAGTGGGAAAATGGATTCTTCTCCAGGCAAGCCTTCAGATGAGAACTTAGCCCAGGCCAACACCTTGACTACAGCGTTGTGAGACTCTGAAGCAGAGAACCCAGCTAAACCGTGTCCAGACTCCTGGCTCAGACTGTGTGTTATTTTAAGTTACTTAGTTCATGGTAATTTGCTATGCAGAAATAGATAGCTAATAGACTATCTACTAGTTGTGCGGCCTTGAGTTAATAGCATAACTGCTTTGTCATGGCAGAGGTGATTAACTGTTCACCATAAAGTTATGCTTCCTCTTCCACAGAACAGCTTTATCACTGGGAAGCAGCCACCCAGCGATAGCCTACATTTCGCAATACCCCTCACATCTGGGTGGAGGCATTGACTGTTCTCACCAGTGAGATGTAAGTGAAAGTCATTTGGGTCACTTCCAGCATGAGGTTGTTAAAAAGTAGGTGTGCTTTCTCCAACCTCTCTGCCTGTCTGCCAGCTTGAGGCAGGAGACTCCAAGGCTGTAGGATCTGGTGGGGCCACAAGACAGAAGGAGCCAGGGCTCAATTACTTCGTGGAGGAAAACTGCACCCTGACCAGGAACACCCTCAGTACACAGTTACATGAGCAGGAAATAACCCTATTGTGTTAAGTGCTGACTGTTTTGTTTATTGTAGCAATTACTGTTTCCCTTATGTAGCATTAATTTTCTTATCTATCAAATGGGGATAAAGTTGTGACATAAATGAAACAATCTGTTTAAAACACATATCAAATTGTAAACTATTATCCTAATATGAGGTGTTAATAGTGTCTTCACAAAACCCCTGTGATGTAACTAGAGAAGTAATTATTCCTTCATTTTATAGGTGATAAAACTATATGAAATGGCTATGTGGCTGGTTTGAGGTCTCTAAATTAGTGACAGGGGTAGGACTATCTCTCTTGATTCCCTACCTAATATTCTTCCACATTTCCATGACATCACACAAGGGTTCAGGGGAGTGGAAGGTGTGCAGAGGAAGGGGGAGTTTCAGGAAGACACATTTCTTTAAACATGTGCAGATGAATACAGTGATTTCAAAGGTGTCCCTGTGGAGTTGAACCAAATGCCTCCTCTGCAGAGGCTGTATGTTTAGCTGTCAGTACATGGAAGAGAAGCATAGCTTCACCTTACATATGTTTTAGTTAAATTAGTAGATTAATGTATATTTACTTTGAGGTGATTGTTGAAATACCTTCCTTGTGTGTAATGGAATTTTCTCCTTTCGGCGATGCCAAAGACAGTTCATTTAGCTACATATGTTGTCAGTGAAATTTCCCACATGCTTCCATGAAACATTTGTCTTCTCCAGATGGCCTGTGTAAAGCCCAGTTGTTCTTCCAAATAAATTTATGGCTACAACAAATGTGTTATCTCTCTAGACTAGCTGAGAGTTCTTTTTTGGAAAAAGAAATAAATGATTTCCTACAATTCAAAGAGGGATAGATTTTTCAGTGTAAAGTGGTGTGAAACTCTGTTCTAAGGCTGAAATTTGGTAGGATCTGAGTTTTAAAAATTAATAGATAGAGTGTGTTGCTTTCATTCCCCTCCACCCATAAAATCTGTGTGGTTTTAAGTTCCCTTCATACAAGAATCCCAAACACAAGAATTCCCCTGCAGATTGTTTCCATATTTCTAATCTCTTGCTTTGCAGCTTTTTTCCCCCAATAAAGCCTTACTTTTAAAATAAAAAATCCAAACACTTATTATTCAATATTTAATATATGAAAAAGAATACTTATAACACAGATATAAGTTAACAAACATACTAATAAATTGGACACCTGTGGAACCACTGATCAACTCAAGAGCCAGAATAATAACAATGGCATTGTATTCATCTGCTCAGTTCCTTGCTTCTGCTGTCATCCCCTTCCTGCTAGGAACCACTACTGCCCTTTACTTTTAAAAATTATTATGAACTGATTGTAACTATTTATGAAAAGGTTTGAAAATCTTAGTGGGAGAATATGCAATGTGACTTCAGATTGGTATTAACAATAATCCTCAACCTTATATTGAAGGCTTTCAAGTCTGTTTTTTCTTCTTCTTCTTCTTCTTCTTCTTTTTTTTTTTTTTGAGACAGGGTCTTACTGTCACCCAGGCTGGAATGCAGTGGTGCAATCGTGGCTCACTGCAGCTTCAACTTCCCTGGCTCAAGTGATCCTCCTACCTCAGCCTCCCGAGAAGCTGAGACTACAGGCATGTGCCATCATGCCTGGCTAATTTTTGTATTTTTTGTGGAGATGCAAAAGGGATTACAGGTGTGAGCCGCTGAGCCTGGCCTTACGTTTTCAAGTCCTTGAAATTCACAATATCCCTGTGAGCTTATCAGTGCACATATTTTATTCTTTTTCAGATTGGAAATGGAGGCCCATACTGAACTGATTACTAATAGGTAGCAGAGAAGGCTAGAACCAGAAGCTTTAGACCTTAAGTCCTGTGATCTTTGCAGTAAACAACATTGCTGATGAGTAAGTAGTTATCAAGTAGATTTCAAAGGATAAATCATTGTTTCTCACCTCACAGAAATATCACTGCAGGCAGCAGCAGCAGACAAATAGTAGTTTGTATCATTAGCAGACCCAGCAACACAGGACCAGCTATTGTATCTTATTTTTCCTTGTATTCCCAGCCCACGGCATGGTGTCTGACACATAGTAGGTCCATGTTAGGAGCTTGGGCTCTGGCCTTAAATACCATTAGGCTGAAAACTGGCTTTCCATTTAGTAGCTTCATGACTTTGCGCCAGTAAACTGGCCTCTGTAAGTCCCACTTACTCATTTATGAAATGAGCATAAACATGGCAGAAGGACAAGAAGCCCTTCTATCCTAGCCCACTTGCCAATATGGTGCAGCTGAAGAAGGGCATAAGTGGTAGTGTGGCAGGTGTAGCCAGCATGTCCCCCTGCCCATCCACCCACCTGCACATGAAGCTGCACAGAAGAGTTCCCCACAGGGGCATAAAATTGACCGGGACCCTGACTAGAGAACTTGGGGTGGGTGTGCCTTGCAGTCAGAATGAGGAGGACCCAGGCTGTCTCGTTAGGGCTTGGTGACTGAAGCAAAAGGGGACAGGGATAAGATATGTCTGCATGCAGTGGCAACTGAGTCTTGGTAATCAAAGAAAGAGGGGATGAATTGTGTCAGCAACAAAACCAGCATGAGAGGAGATGGATCAAGGAGGGCTGGCCTATGATTCCGACAGACCCCAGGACAGTAGAAGCAACAGCTTAGCTGGGAGACAGGTACTTAGAATGACAAGGGATTCCGTGTGTTGTGTATTATTCTGGATTACGTTCAAGGTGCTGTGGCTATGGGAATATGACAGAGGGAGTAAGCAGCCCCAAAGAGAGGATGATGTGTGCTGGGTTTTAAAGAAGCTCATGCTGTAGGAAAGAGGGAGGAAATCATTCAGAGGAGAGGGAACATGCTCAGAGTCCCAGAGAGGTCAAGAGCATGAAACATATGGCAGACAGTGAGAAGCCCAGATGTCCAGAAGGTCAGATACAAGTGAGAGAAAGGCAGGACAAGAGGCAGGACAGGGATGTGGAGGCCAGCCTGCAGAGAGCCTTGTATGACATGTTAATTTCCCCCAACTCTAGGTATTTCTATGAAGGTTTCCAGAGTTCTCTTTATGAAAGACAAATATGATCATGTCATTTAGCTAAAAGTCTTGTATTGACTTCCCTTAGAACAGGGATTCTTGGCCGAGTGCAGAGGCTCAGGCTCAGAAAAAATATTTTTCAATGCATAACATAAAATAGATAAGATCACAAAGGAAACCAAATATATTGAAATACATTGGGTGGCCATGAAGGATAGATTGCTTGAGCCCAGGAGTTCCAGACCAGCCTGGGCAACATAGGGAGACCTCATCTCTACAAAATAAAAAATTACCAGCCTGGGAAACATGGTGAAACCCTGTCTCTACAAAAACAAAAACAAAAACAAAAACACCCAAAAACCAGAAAGTAACCAGGCATGGTGGCAGGTGCTTGTAGTCCCAGCTACTCTGGAGGCTGAGATGGGAGGATCCCTTGGGCTTGGAAGATAGAGGCTGCAGTGAGCCTGAGCTGTGACAGTGCCACTGCACTCCAATCAGGGCAACAGAATGAGGGCTTGTCTCAAAAAAAAAAAAAAAAAAAAAAAAGTAGAAATTCTTTTTTTAAAAAAATAGTTAATAACAATGTATTTTATTCCTTAAAGGGTTTTTAATATTTTCAATTTTTATTTTAGATATGGAGGCACATGGGCAGGTTTGTTACATGGATATATTGTGTGATGCTGAGGTTTGGGGTGCAAATGATCCCGTCATTCATACAGATAGTGAGCACAGTATCCAGTAGGTAGTTTTTAAAACCCATCCCCTCCCCCCTACTTCCCCCATTCTTCCCCTGCCCAGTAGTCTCTGGTGTCTATTGTTCTCATCTTTATGTCCACGAGTACCCCATGTATAGCTTCCACTTATAAGTGAGAACATGTGGTTTGTGTGTGTGTGTGTGTGTGTGTGTGTGTGTGTGTGTGTGTGTGGTTTTCTGAGACAGGGCCTCACTCTGCCACCCAGGCTGGAGAGTGCAGTGGTGCAATCATGGCTCACTGCAGCCTTGACCTCCCAGGTTCAAGCAATCCTCCCACCTCAGCCTCCTGAGTAGCTAGGACTATAGGTGCACACAACCACGCCTGGCTACTTTGTGTGTGTGTGTGTGTGTTTTTTTGTAGAGACAGGGTTTTGTCATGGTATCCAGGCTGATCTTGAACTCCCGGCCTCAAATGATCTGCCCACTTCAGCCTCTCAAACTGCTGGGATTACAGGCGTGAGCCACCACTCCCTGCTGGTATTTGGTTTTCTGTTCTTGTGTCACTTAGGATAATGGCTCCAGCTGCATCTGTGTTGCTGCAAAGTATTCCATGGTGTACATGTACCACATTTCCTTTATCCAATCCATCATTGATTGACACCTAGGTTGATTCCATGTCTCTGCTAATGTGAGTAGTGCTGCAATAAACATATGAGTGAGTGCCTGTGTCTTTTTTTTGGTAGAATGATTTATTTTCTTTTGGGCACATACCCAGTAATGGGATTGCTGGGTTGAATGGTAGTTCTAAATTATTTGAAAATCTCCAAACTGCTTTCCACAGTGGCTGAACGAATTTATATTCTCACCAACAGAGTATGAGCATTCTTTATTCTTTGCAGCCTTGCCAGCATCTGTTATTATTTGACTTTTTAATAATAGCCATATTGACTGGTGTGAGAAACTATTTCACTGTGGTTTAGTGAGATGGTGATTAGTGATAATGAGAATTTTTTTTTTCGTATGATTGCTGGCTGCATGGATGTCTTCTTTTGAGAAGTGCCTGTTCATGTCCTTTGCTCCTTTTTTGTGGGGTTATTTGTAGAACAGGGATTGAAATACATTGGGAGGCCAAGGTGGGTGGATCACTTGAGCCCAGGAGTTCCAGACCACCCTGGGCAATGTAGGGAGACCTTGTCTCTACACAATAAAAAATTAGCAGCCTGAACAACATAGTGAAACCTTTGTTGTGCCACGTGTTTGTAGACTAGTCCAGTAAAGCTCAGAGAAATATTTTTCCATGCGTGACATAAAATAAATAGAATCACTAAAGAAACCAATTATATTGAAATACAGTTATTTTAAAAGAGAAAATTTGTAACACGTGTGCTTCTTAGTAACATGTTAACCTCCATAGGTAGAAGAACTACTGTAATTTGAAAATAATGACGACTGTATATATTTTATGATATCTGCAGCAACTATGAAGTATTACAAAAAAAAACTACGATATTATTTGGTTGAGTAAGCAACAGGTTCTGGCCAGTACTATAATACTTGGTTCATTGCCTAAATTCTTTGTTTTGGTTTTGTTTTTTAAAGTCTAGTCGGCTGGGCGTGGTGGCTCACGCCTGTAATCCCAGCACTTTTCGGGGCTGAAGTGGGCAGATCGTTTGAGGCCAGGAGTTTGAGACCAACCTGGCCAGTGTGGTGAAACCTGTCTCTACTAAAAATACAAAAAATTAGCTGGGTGTGGTGGCTCACGCCTGTAATCCTAGCTACTCGGGAAGCTGAGGCAGGAGAACTGCTTGAACCTGGGAGGTGGAGGTTGCAGTGAGCCAAGATTGCCTGGGTGAGACAGCGAGACTCCATCTAAAAAAAGCAGAAAAAGAAATAAAGGCTAGTTAAGGGAAGCAGTGGGAGTGGAGAAGAAACAAAGAAATCTGTGACTGGTTGTAATCAATTAGTTGTAAACACCCCGTCCTGGCTGTTGCCTAAATTCCTTTTTTTTTTTTTTTTTTTTTGAGACGGAGTTTCGCTCTTCTCACCCAGGCTGGAGTGCAGTGGCGTGACGGCTCACCGCAACCTCCGCCTCCCAGGTTCAAGCGATTCTCCCGCCTCAGCCTCCTGAGTGGTTGGGATTACAGGCGCCTGCCACCACGCCCAGCTAATTTTTTGTTAGCTGGTTTCACGATGTTGGCCAGGCTGGTCTCGAACTCCACATCTCAGGTGATCCGCCCCTGCCTTGGCCTCTCAAAGTGTTGGGATTACAGGCATGAGACACTGTGCCCGGCCGTAAATGCTTAATTGAAACACATTTTAAATTTCAGTTAAGAGGTTAGTGAAAATAAAGATGTAACTTTTTTCCCCCATTTAAGTTCATGGATATCAGGCCTCTGAGCCCAGGCTAAGCCATCATATCCCCTATGACCTGCACGTATACATCCAGATGGCCTGAAGTAACTGAAGATCCACAAAAGAAGTGAAAATAGCCTTAACTGATGACATTCCACCATTGTGATTTGTTTCTGCCCCACCCTAACTGATCAATGTACTTTGTAATCTCCCCCACCCTTAAGAAGGTTCTTTGTAATTTCCCCCACCCCTAAAAATGTTCTTTGTTAATTCTCCCCACCCTTGAGAATGTACTTTGTGAGATCCACCCCCTGCCTGCAAAACATTGCTCCTAACTCCACCGCCTATCCCAAAACCTGTAAGAACTAATGATAATCCCACCACTCTTTGCTGAGTCTCTTTTCGGACTCAGCCCGCCTGCATCCAGGTGGAATAAACAGCCTTGTTGCTCACACAAAGCCTGTTTGGCGGACTCTTCACACGGACGCGGGAGACAATAGATCCTTTGAATTCCATGGTCCTTAGGCCCTAGAGAATGAATGAAGTAGGTATTATTCAATACCTATGCCAGATCAGGCAGAAATTATTACTAATTAGAGAAGAATGCCTCTTTTCCTCTCCTGATTTCCATGAGGAGGGATTACTTTCCCTTCGACACAGCTGGCTTCTATCCTTACTTGTGTTCTAACCATAAGTAAGGTTCAGGTGGGTGCACTGTTAGGCTTCGTCTGCAAGGGGCAGAGATCTGAAATGGCGGTGGATTAAACAAGGTAAAATTTATGCCCCGCTCACTTAATGTGAAGGCAGACAGTGCAGGGTGGGATAGCAATTCTGCCCCATGGCGTCTTTCTATCTGCACTGTACATGATGCCTGTCAATCTAGGTGCCCCACCTCCAGTCAAGGGTTGGTCCAGTGATCTACTCTAGGCCAATCAGATACTCTCTCTGAAACTGGCATCTGGAGTGAATTGTCCATAAGGACTGAACATGGACTGAACTCATTGCCTTTGTGGAAGGCATCTTGAAGAGAGAACCTGTTCATTATTTCCTGCTACCCAGATCCTCAAAGCAGCCATTTCTATCCTTCCTGAAGCCTGCTTCTATGCCTTTTTTCCCCTTTCCTTTCCTTTCATTTTCTTTCTTTCTTTTTTTTTTGAAACAGGGTCTCGCTGTGTTGCCCAGGCTGGAGTGTAGTGGTGCTATCTCCACTCACTGCACCCCAGACCTCCTGGGCTCAAGCCATCATCCTGCCTCAGCCTCCCAAGTAGCTGGGACCACAGGTGTGCACCACCATGCCCAGCTAATTTTTTGTTTTTGTTTTTGTAGAGATAGGCTCTTGCTATGTTACCCAAGCTGGTTTTGAACTCCTGAGCTCAAGCAATCCACCCACCTACGCCTCCAAAAGTGCTGGGATTACAGGTGTGAGTCACCACTTTTAGCCTTTTTAAAAATTTTGATTCTATGAATTACTTCTGTTACTTTCTAGTTTAAATCACCCAGAGTTAATTTTTGTTCCTTAAAGTTAAATAACCCTAACAGGTATAGAGGCAGTAAAGCGTTGTTCAATATCCCCTTTGTTGTGGGCAGTTTCCATCTTCTATGCAGATATTTCTGCACATATAGTAATCTGTGGGAAAAAAGGACTTTTTAGACAGAAGACAAGCTGGAACTTGGCTGAATAGTTAATAAAAATAGGAAAATCTGACAGAGATGACCAGGAAACAGTGAATAGAACAAGGAGAGAAAAAGACAAATGAGAGGGTGGCTAGAAATATGTTGACTGGACAAGAACCCTGTTTAGGGTTGGAGACCGGGGTAGATTTCATCTATGTATGGCCAAGAGTTTAGGAAGAACTCTGGTGGGGACAGAAATAGATCCAGAAGTTTGTAGTCAGCCTCTGTATTAGTTAGAGGAGAGGATGTGCTGGAGATGAGTTGGATACCAGTGATCCTGGGCTCTCTGACCAATATGGTTTGGGTCTGTGTCCCCACCCAAATCTCATGTTGAATTGTAATCCCCAGTGTTGGAGGGTGGGGCCTGGTGGGAAGTGAGTGAAACATGGGGGTGGATTTCCCCTGGGTGCTGTTCTCATGATAGGGAATGAGTTCTTATGAGATCTTGTTGTTGAAAAGTGTGTAGCACCTCCCAGTGTCTTCCTCCTCATCTGGCCATGTAAGACATGCTGCTTCCCCTCTGCCTTTTGCCATGATTGTAAGTTTCCTGAGACCTCCCCAGTCTTGCTTCCTATACAGCCTGCAGAGCCATGAGCAAGTGAAACCTCTTTTCTTTATAAATTACCCACTGTCAGGTATTTCTTTATAGCAATGCAAGAACAGACTAATAGACTGACTAAGGCTTTTCTACCAACCCAAAAGTGTTGGCATGTGAGACTGTTTTCTGTACCTTCCATTATTTATCAAGACATGGATTGGATCTTGATAAATAGTTGCACTTGTTTTATAGTAATTCTCTGTATTGACATACTTTTGACACTCATTTGTTTATTCATTCAATAACTTTATTGGGTGCCTACATAAATATTTATTGAGTGCTGGTTTTTGTTGTTGGTGCTAAGTACATAGTAGTACAAAATATAGTTCCTCCCTCATGGAGATAGATAACTGTGGAGGAGAGAAAAAAAAGCAATTAAGTAGAAACATATAATTACAAAATGTGTGCCAAGTGCTCAAAAGGAAAATTGCTGGCTTTGAATAGAATGTAACATGTGATGGTGTTTTACTACCAAAGGAGAGACAAGAGGGAAAAACTTTTCTTCGTAAAGAAAGTTCACAAAACTTATTATGGTAGTAGGAGCCTTGTACTTTACCCGAGAGGCCTTTTCCTTCCATTTTCATGAGCTCACCTTAAAACGTAATTCAAAGAATCTGTAAGATGTAACGTATTTTGGTTTTTACTTTATGTGTTGTAGGTTGTATCTGGAAACTGAAGGCAAGCTTTGAGGAGACTTCTTGGGCCAGTTGATGGACATTAAACCTGGTTGAGAGACAGGGACATGAACTTGTGACCTTAAGTTGTCAGTAGGGAAAAAACTTAAAAATAGTGTTAAGTTCTGTTTGCCCTTGAAGACAGGGAAGATAATCAGGTTAATTTAATGAATACATAATAGGGGTTTGCTGATCTCAGCTGTCATAGAGCATTTTTATTTGACTAAATTTCCTGAACATGTTGCTGGTTGATTTGTTATCCTGTAAGAAAAGACCAGACATCATCTTTTCATATTTGTTCAGTGTTTTGGTGATTTGACCATTCACTGAAGACCATTATGTGCATGATACTCTGAAGGCTACATTGTAACTACCAGAGTGCTTATGGAATAATCTAGAATGGAAGGATTTTGCAACCTAATAGAATCTAGGATTCTTTACGTAGGGCATGAGTGGCCTTTGAAAGAATGTCTTAGGCGCCATCTTGTGGTCAGCATTATGAATGCATTGAATTCAACTCATCCTCAACTTGCTGGAGACTGCTTACAAAGTTCATGACGGCTTTCGGGCTGTTGAGACTTGAATACATTTCTCCATAGAACCAATGTCACAAAGGGAGGTTACATTATCCTACTATGGCAAAGACCTAGTATATTAGTCAGGTCTTTTTCAGCATCAGGTGACAGAAACCTATTTCAAACTGGCTTCGGCAAGAAGGGGTTTTCTCACAGAAGAAGGAATTGCTGTAGGAACCAGGGCCTTTGGTTTTATTCCATCTTGCTTCAAGGAAGGTTGTTATCAGAAATCCAGATTTTGAATAATTTTCCACATTATGACTCAGCTAGCTACAAGCAGAAGAATCTCAAGGAAGGACCCTGGCCTGATTGGGTCTCATGCCAAGCCTTGTACCAATCATGTATTCTGGGGAATGAGACACCATGAACAGCCAGCTTGAGTTGGGTGATCATCCTCAGTGGTTGGGGGGTGGAGAAGAAGAGACAGAATATGTTACCTTAGGAAGGGAGTGGGAAGGCTTGCTGGGCAAATGAGCAAACTAAAAAGAGCAACCGCAACCTATCGCATTCTGCTACTGAGATACCAGAACACATCCATACCCTTCTCCCCATGCATGCAATTCCCAAAGTGCCTAAATGCTGTAACTTTCCTGAGTAGACACAGTACAAACTCATCTTCTTCCCAAGAGGAATTAAAGACACATTGAATTGATGTGTTCAACACCACGTCTAGGATTTCTGGATGATGTGTGTTCCTCTTAGGTTCAGAGGTAGTGTCTACTCCAGGTCCAATAATCTATTTCCATTAAGAAAAAAACTTGACCACAAAGCCAGTTATTTAATCTATTTTGGATTCACTTAACATACCTTTTAAGATTTCCAAAAGAGACAAATCCTGTAAGTGTCTTATTTTATTGAGTTAAACACTTGAAAGCTATTTATTCATTTAAATCAGTATTTTGAGTAAGTGTTTATATGAGCCCCTAATATTTGTCAGGTATCATTTTAGGTGCTAGGAGTACATCCCTCATTTCTCTGAACTTAAAGACATGAGCAAATAACTAAGCAGTAAGGGGCTGTAATTGCAGTATTAATTGCATGTATGTTCTATTTGTACCATTTTTACAGAATTGTATGTATTTTACAGGTGGTATTTATGAAAATTGAAACCATAGAAATAAGAGAATCTCACTGATACAGAGAACAGGGATAAATAGAACCTCAAAGAGTTAGAGTTATTATTAGGACCAATTTTAAGTTGGAAGATACTTGGCAACAGTTTGTCAAAAATGATGGAACCGTTTTCTTCCTTTTCCTAGTTTATGTGGACTTTTGTTCTAGCAAATTTTGGTTTGTGCATTTGAGGGCCAATTACTCATGAAGCAGAATATTTGAGTCCATTTGCTTTATTCACTAACTGGTTGTCCTACTGGCATTTCTAATTTAAAACACATTGAATGACCTCCTAAGACAAACATCTAGCTTAATGATTAGAGGGAAGGATTGGACAGTACTTCAGAGCATGAGTTTTGACATAAGTGTCACCAAGGTGGGCCGGGCACAGCGGTTCACACCTGTAATCCCAGCACTTTGGGAGGCTGAGGCGAGCAGATCACCTGAGGTCGGGAGTTTGAGACCAGCCTGACCAACATGGAGAAACCTCGTCTCTACTGAAAATACAAAATTAGCTGGGCATGGTGGTGGTGCGCCTGTAATCTCAGCTACTCGGGAGGCTGAGGCAGGAGAATCGCTTGAACCTGGGAGGCGGAGGTTGTGGTAAGTCGAGATTGCGCCATTGCACTTTAGCCTGGGCAATAAGAGCGAAACTCTGTCTCAAAAAAAAAAAGAAAAGTCACCAATGTTTACTCCTGGCTTCACTCTTATTAGCTCTGTGACCTTCAGCAAGAGTCTTAGCTTTCTTAGTTTTCTCATTTAAGTAGTGGTACTCAACTTGTACTAGTACTCAACTTGTAAGGTCATTGTGAGTGTTAAATAAATATGTCACCGTATTAGCATATAGTAAGGGCTATATACATGTTGAAAGAATAATTAGAAAAAAGTGAAGCCTTTCTTAAGTGCCTTTTAAAAGTAGGCACTACATGGCTAAAATCCATTTATTAATGCTATAGAGACTTGATTATTGTTCATATAATTGATTATTGTTTGTTCATATAATTGATTACTGCTGTCTTAATTGGGGACCAGTGTCACTCAGAAAGAGTGTTGACAGTATGGAAATTACAAAAGATGTTGTTTTTATTTACTATGTTGAATGGTGGTATGAGGGAATCACTGGACTAGCAAAACTCTCTTAAAGTTTTGACATGGGATGGAGTGTGTGGTGGTGGGGACCCTTTTTCCCACTGTTGAGGTTTTATTCTTGTGGAGGGAGCTCCACTAGTCTAGGATTTCTGGATGATGTGTGTTCCTCTTAGGCTCAGACATAGTGTCTTCTCTAGGTCCCTTCCTTGGTGTTTTTATGCCCCTTCCTTGCTCCTTTCTGGAAGATACGTCACTTATCTGACTGGTGAATGTGGAAGGAATAACTGACCAAATGGCTCAGCCTCTTCCCTTTTTCTCTTGGGAGGAGCCTGTCTTCTGGAAGCTTGCATTCCACTCTGATCATCCTTGTCATAAATGCACCAGGCAGGCCCTGTTTTTCAGAGGCTTGCCCAGTCCAGTGGTGCTTGGGATTCAAAAGATAAGCAGTGGCTGGGTGCGGTGGCCCACGCCTGTAATCTAAGCACTTTGGGAAGCTGAGGGAGATGGATTGCTTGAGCTCAGGATTTTGAGACCAGCCTCGGCAACATGGTGAAACTCCATCTCTACGAAAAATACAAAAATTAGCCAGTCTTATAACCAGGTCTCAAAAAAATAAATAAAAATTTAAAAAGACCAGCAGTTTAATTCTTGAGTGCAATGTGATCTACTTGCCTAGAGACGTAGCCTCATTTTTCAATATTAACAATGTGATATCTATTCTCCTAGCTGCCTTATTCTTTGGTCGGATTTCTTAATTGCCTCACAACATTTGTGAGAAAGATGAATGTCATTTACCAAGCCTGTTGAAATCCCAGCAGTCCTGTTAACAATGAATTGTGCACATTCTACTGGGGACTTCCTTCCTTTCCTTTCCTTCCTTTCCTTCCTTTCCTTCCCTTTCCTTCCTTCCTTCCTTCCTTCCTTCCTTCCTTCCTTCCTTCCTTCCTTCTCTCTCTTTTCTTTTCTTTTCTTTTCTTTTCTTCTTCCTTTCTGTCCTGAATCTCGCACTGTCACCTGGGCTGGAGTGCAGTGGCGCAATCTCAGCTCACTGCAACCTCTGCCTCCTGGTTCACGTGATTCTCCTGTCTCATCCTCTTGAGTAGCTGGGATTACAGGCACACACCACCACACCCTGCTAATTTTTGTATTTTTAGTAGAGACAGGGTTCACTGTGTTGGCCAGACTGGTCTCAAACTCCTGACCTCATGATCCGCCCGCCTCGGCCTCCCAAAGTGCTGGGATTACAGGTGTGAGCCACTGTGCCTGGCCAGGGACTTTCTAAGAGCCTGAGTGGAATACACTTCAGAATTATCTATTGAAGGGCAAGGGAGCTAGGGTGTCTATCCACCAACTCCTGTCCCTCACTGGCTGAGGGTTGCTTAATTCCCTGGTACTTTTAGCTTGCCCATTTTGTCGCTAGCAGAAGTCCTCGGCCAGAGAAATGCAGGTGTTTGATGCGGGAAACCAAGAATAAGATGAGAACAATCTACTGAAGCGCCAAGTAACTTTCAGTGTGTCCTGGGGAATGGTTGGGGCACTCACAGTGCCAGCGATAAGGTTCTCTGAATTCCCGTTGGCTATGCTAGTACCCTTGCTCTGTGATTCCACAGATGTTTCCTTAGTCAAATCCAGCATTGGATGGGTTTATTCTGTCACCTCAGCTGTAAGCTCTATGTGGGCAGGGACCAGATGCATGCTATTCACTGTGGTATTCTCAAGCCTAGATGATCAGTAAATATTTGTTAAATGTAGCCGGGTGCAGAGGCTCACGCCTCTAACCCCAGCAATTTGGGAGGCAGAGGCAGGCAAATCACTTGAGGTCAGGAGTTCAAGATCAGCCTGGCCAACATGGTGAAACCCTGTCTCCACAAAAAATACAAAATATATATATATATATTTTAGTCGGGCGTGGTGGCACGTGTCTGTAATCCCATCTACTTGGGAGGCTGAGGCAAGATAATCGCTTGAAGCCAGGAGGCAGAGGTTGCAGTGAGCTGAGATCACACCACTGCACTCCAGCCTGGGCAACAGAGTGAGACTCCATCTCAAAAAAAAAAAAAAATTACTTGTTGAATGAATGCTGTGGTCGGGAATGAATAAATGGTCACAGTGAAAAAATCATATGCAATTATTTTTAAAGCTAGTTTTGGTGTTTTGTAAGAAAGTACATTTGCTATACAAAGAATTGTACTGCTGAAACACAGAGACATGAAGTGCATGGTTTGGACCCACCTGATGTTAAGTTTGAAATAAACTTGCCTTTTACAACTTTATGGTCCTAGAAAAAGGGAGATCACATATTTTCCTTTCTTA
Source organism: Homo sapiens (assembly GCF_000001405.40). Taxonomy (NCBI): domain Eukaryota; kingdom Metazoa; phylum Chordata; class Mammalia; order Primates; family Hominidae; genus Homo; species Homo sapiens. The sequence goes on from NC_000004.12 coordinate 83,644,693, forward strand.
GCAAAAATTGTTATCAAGGAATAGTTTCCATGAAGGTAAAACAGAGTAAGAGATTTGTTCTATTTGAAGTATTTTAAATAGGTTCTGTTTGTGAAGTTACTTGTCAAAGTTTCTCAACAGGAGAGAGATGGATTTCAGTGCTGAGGATATGATGATGTAATGTGACAACATTGCCAGTAGGGGGTGCTGTTTCACGTAGCATTAGAAGCTTTATGGCTTTGGATTCTGTAAATAGAGTTCACAACATTATTCTCGAAATGAATTAGATTAGTTTCCGAACGGTTGATAGGATTTTTAACGTCAGACAGGCAATAAAAGAGAAAGCACCAAAATCAGTCACCCCACTCCATAAGCAAAAAAGTCTGAGGGAGATAAAATCTGTAATTCATACAACTGCAGCCAATATGGGGAAGAAATAATAAAAAAGAAAAAAATGGCTAATTCCAAGTTGATTATATGCTCCAGTGTGGCCTGGATAATTCCAGTTTTGAAATACTATTCTGGATGGGCACATATGCTGAGAAAAATTCAGATATAATGGATAGTGGATAGTTTTTGTTATAGAGTCAAGAGTTGCTTGAATAGATAGCTTTAAGATGAACTGGGAAGTGCTGGGCTTAACTTTGTGAATTACCACATATGAAATACAATTATGCTCACAAATTACTATATTTAAAAACAGCTCACAAAGTAATTCTCATACTCCTGCATTTATAACTTGACAAACTGCTGAGCTGTCTTAATATTTCAATTGAATCTAATAAACACTTACTGGGGGTCTACTGTGTACCAGGCAGTCTGCCAAGCACTGGGAATCCACAAATTTTAGTAAGACAGAGCCCTCCCTTTGAGATTAGCCTTTAGCCAGGGGTTTTTAGGCCTTATAGAGACACTGCTTCTTTTCCATCACAGCCAAAGAACTCAGTCCAAGAGCTGTGGTGCAAGGAGAGGAGTGGTTGTTCCCTGCCTCCATGGTCTTCCTGTAGCAAGGTCTCTGCTCCTCTATACGAAGACCTTGTTTAGTCTGGAGGCAACCAAGAAGTAAGAATTGCCAACACACTGGTTATTCCTCTTGCATCACTCCTTTCAATGCAGAGGGAAGAACTACGGTCATTTTAGATGTTTATCAAAATCCAGTTAATAGATTTAAAAAGGATTATCATTCATCATACCTAAATGTCATAATCACTCCCTTTTCCAGGATGCCCGAAGAAGGCTCAAAGACACAGTGAAATGGCCAAAATAATATTCTAGGACTAGCCTAGAATATTCTAGTCTTCTCGCAGGTTCTAAAATGACAGCTCTAGTGCCAGGACACTAACACGACTGCCCCGAGATTTACCCCTTCCTCTCCCTCCAGAAACATTTGAGACGACAAAAGTTTTCCCATGCAGCAGCAGAAAGCTATCCAATTACTTTCTGGGGAGTGAAATCTTTTAGAAGACACGAACATCAAAGATTTTGAAATGGGGTCAAAGAACAAGGGTGTCTTTGGAAACACACAGTCCTGGTCTGGATTCCAACCTAATTTTTCAGCCGTGTGATTTTGGGCAATTTACTAAGCCTTGGCTTTCTCCCTTAAAAACAGGAATTATCATTCCTAGCTCTTAAGATTGTTGCAAAGTTTGAAATAGGATAATCTATGGAAAAGCACCTATAATAATTCCTGGCATGGTGGGCATCCTAGAAAGTGTTAGGATTCTCCCTTCCTTCTTTGGAGGGGATATTGGTCATCAGTTATGTGATCATCAAACCACATGTAAGCATGTTTAGTATCCAAGCCATGTCATCAACACAGACCCATCGTTTCCTCCTGACCTGCTACTAATGCCCCTTATTTTGATAATAATGTCAATACGCTCTTTCATGGTAAAGTCAATGAACAGCTATGATCATGAGGGCTAATTCTGAAAGCATTCATAGGCAAATCCAAAGCAGGAAGAGGCTATTTATATTTTTCCTTAGTTTTCTTATAAGAGGCGTACCTGAAAGCTGGCGTTCTGAAAGAAACTGATTAAATGACGCATCATTTTGATGCATTCCAGAGCCTTCCCCTTGTTTCCTGTGTGATTCTCAGCCTGCCAGCTCAAGTGAAGTGAGGAACAGCTTCTCTTCATATGCCATGCACAATATGGGAGCACAGCAGCTTTTGCTGCTGATGAAAATATTATGGCCTCAGTTCTCTGTAATCAATTTACTGCTTTATGGACCCAAAGTCCTCCAGAGAATTTAATAAATTCACATAATGTTTCTAAGTGCTGCATTGTGCATTTGGAGCGCTGATTTAGCTGACAAATGTGAAAAATTCGTGTAGCTAGACAACTCCCTAGTGATTAGACATGTGTGGAAGCTAAAGAGACCACGTTGCTCCAGAGAAGGTCAGCATTAACATAAAGCCCAGAATCTTCTCTTCACTAGCCTCATGTCCCTTCAGCTCTGATGGATAACACCATCTGACCAAACATTTATTTGGGGGGTAGGGTTTTACTCATTTCCAGTGGGGCTGTACTTTTGATTCTCTAAAAGTCTGCTCTGGTCTAGGCAGAGTGAAGAATGACAAAGTTAAAGGTGATAGTGTAATGTGTGACTAGGGTGGCACCTACGGATTCAGAGGATGAAATGGTCACTAAGTTATGCACGTTTGACCCTGAGGGATGCCAGAGGTTTCTAAGGGAGCATTTTGTGGGACAGCAGCACAGAGTCACTTGTTTAAAACCAGTTCCATTTAAAGTTATATTAACTCTTTCTGCACATCTCTCTCTTCCATTCAAATTTCTTTCCAAATGTAAACAGATTTACCAAAAATAATTATTAAACCACTTTATTACTCAAAATAATCTTCTATCTTTACTAATGTACATATAAATATTCTGCATCATGATAACCAATCGATTACATTGTCCTAACAATGCCATTTTGTATTCCCCTTTTCCTCTTTAATGTTACTTCATACAAACAACAAAAGCGTTATTTTGTGTCCATCAAAGTGGGCCACAGAGCTGTTGTTTCAAATAGGTTTTTAGTATTTAATTTCTGGTGCTGTATTGTTACAGAGACCATCATTATTCAGAATTACTGCAGGTTTTACTGTTAATTTTAGCTTGAATTTTGGTTTTCAGCTCAAGCAAAGATTTAAGATTTACCTTGAGTTCTCAAATTAGGGGCAATCTGCAATGGATATGGGGCCTAGAGATGTTGTAATAGCCCGTGTAGAAACAAGCTGACGCCTGTTGCACCTCCTATCCTGGTGATGGATGACCCAGCTGATACCTCTACTCTGGCAGGCTCTGAGCACTGGATGAGTGACTGTGGACTCTCTCCTGGGGGACCCAGAAGGTTTGGAGCTGCTCCTATGGCTCTGGATCTGGGTAGAGACACCCAGATGCTTCACTGATGAAAAGGGAATGCCACTTCCTGTATTTGGATACTGTAAGCAATGCTTGACAGGTGATCTTTCTACCACTGTCAAAACAGCCGAAGAGTTGGGGAAACAAAATGTGGTCAAGTATTAACAATCAGAGATAGAATGGGAATGAATATTCCTGTTCATGAAAGACTCTGTAAAACACTTAAAGAGGTATATTCTGAGCCAATATGAGTGACCGTGGCCTGGGGAACTGTATCAAGAGGTCCTGAGAAAGTGTGCCTGAGGTGGTTGAGTTACAGTTTGGTTTTATACATTTTAGGGAGACCAGGAGTTACGGGCAAAGACATAAAATCAATACATGGGAGGTACGTATTGGTTTGGCCCAAAAAGGTGGGAAATCTTGAATAGGGGGTGGTGCTTACAGGCCACAGGTGGATTCAAAGACTTTTCCGATTGACACGTGGTTGAAAAACTTCAGCTTTGTCTAAAGACTTGAAGTCAGCTGAGCCTAGAAGGCCTGGAAAAGGAAGGTCTGGCTGCATTGATGGAGATTCTCTACAGATGCAAACTTCTCCTACAAAAGATGGCTTTGCAGGGGTATTTCAAAATATGTCAATAAATATGTTTCGGGGCTGGGCGCGGTGTCTCACGCCTGTAATCCCAGAACTTTGGGAGGCCGAGATGGGCAGATCACTTGAGGTCAGGAGTTCAAGACCAGCCTGCCAACATGGTGAAATCCCTTCTCTACTAAAAATACAAAAAATTAGCCGGGCGCGGTGGCACGCATCTGTGATCCCAGCTACTTGGGATCACTGAGGCAGGAGAATTGCTTGAACCCGGGAGGCAGCGGTTGTAGTGAGCTGAGATCATGCTATTGCACTCCAGCCTGGATGACAGAGTGAGACTCTGTCTCTCTCTCTATATATATATTTTTGAGAAATATATATAATATATATATTTTTGAGAAATATATAATATATATATTTTTGAGAAATATATATAATATATATATTTTTGAGAAATATACATAATATATATATTTTTGAGAAATATACATAATATATATATTTTTGAGAAATATATATAATATATATATTTTTGAGAAATATATAATATATATTTTTTGAGAAATGTATATTATATATATTTTTGAGAAATATGTATTATATATATTTTTGAGAAATATATATAATAAATATATTTTTGAGAAATATATAATATATATTTTTGAGAAATATATATGATATATATTTTTGAGAAATATATATGATATATATATTTTTGAGAAATATATGATATATATATTTTTGAGAAATATATATGATATATATATTTTTGAGAAATATATATGATATATATATTTTTGAGAAATATATATGATATATATATTTTTGAGAAATGTATATGATATATATATTTTTGAGAAATGTATATGATATATATATTTTTGAGAAATATATATGATATATATATTTTTGAGGAATATATATGATATATATATTTTTGAGGAATATATATGATATATATATTTTTGAGGAATATATAAGACATATATTTTTGAGGAATATATATGACATATATGTTTTTGAGGAATATATATGACATATATGTTTTTGAGGAATATATATGACATATATGTTTTTGAGGAATATATATGACATATATGTTTTTGAGGAATATATATGACATATATGTTTTTGAGGAATATATATGACATATATGTTTTTGAGGAATATATATGACATATATGTTTTTGAGGAATATATATGACATATATGTTTTTGAGGAATATATATGACATATATGTTTTTGAGGAATATATATGACATATATGTTTTTGAGGAATATATATGACATATATGTTTTTGAGGAATATATATGACATATATGTTTTTGAGGAATATATATGACATATATTTTTGAGGAATATATATGACATACATGTTTTTGAGAAATATATATGATATATATATTTTCTCTCTCTCTCTCTCTCTCTCTATATGTATATATTTGGGGGTAAAATATTTTGATTTTCTTCAGGGTCTGCTATCTGTCATGTGATCATATACCAGGGTCCAGTTGGAAAATTATTGCACAAGATATTTTAATTTCTAAAGGCTTTTGAGTGAACTCTGGCCTGGATGGTACCGTGCAGCACAATGCAGTGATACTATAAACAATATGCTTGATTGTGAAGCTTCCTGCCTCCCAGGAGTTAACAACAGATGATGAGAAATGGAAGGTTGAAGGTTTAGTGAAGGTCCCTTTTAAGAGGAGGATACTTGCTAATGAACATGCTTTCTAGAAGTTCAACTTTCTCCATGGGGAATGGCACCCAGTGCCAAATCTAACTGTGTTGTATTCTACCACCCATCCCGAGATGGTGGAGCTGAAACGTCTGTGCCGGGCAGAAAAGATTCCACATTATTACTGAAATGATAAACCTATGAGGCCAACCTGCTTGTGAGGTTGTGGTTTTATTTTTGCCACTATTTGGTTGCTGTCATTCCTCATAAGTATGTCTCCACACTTGTCAGGTCAAATCTGCTGTCAATTGAAATACATAAAATGCATATCTCTGTATGTATACATATTTTTCATTTTCTAAAATGAACATCATAAAAACAGAAACATGACCTACAAAGGCAGGATACAGACTCCAAATATTGTACAGCAGCTTCATTTTTTTATTAGATTTTCTGTGTTTTCTTCCCCCCCAGTTGCTGGATAAAATCCATACAAATGAAATACTGGCTCACTCAGTAAATAATAATGAAAAGGTAAATTCATTTTACAGAGAAGCCAGTGCATGTAAGACATCATCTTGAATGACTGTGATTTTCTTGAACTGATCACCAGGCTATTATAGTCTCTCAAGAATGATATCTGGTTTTTAGGTTCTCCAATTGTGCCTGCGACCTCTCCTTAACCCTTTGGCCCTTAAGAAACATTGACTTAAAACCAAAAACCATGTGCAACAGTATGCTGCTGAAATGACACAGGTACAATTTAGTTCACATTAACTTGGAGTTCTGAGAGCTGAAGCACACACTGAGGATCTGGCCTCTCCCTGCCATCATCTGACCCCTCCTCTTGTATGTTTTGATAGTTGTGATGTAATTATAAAGTTCTTTAAAAGAGCGTAGAAAAGAAATATATTTAGGGGTAAAATCTTGTTTTCTTTTTAAGTTCATTGTGTAGCTTGGAGTGTCTCCAAATCTGCCATATTAGGTTCCATTTTGGTTTTTGGAAAAGGCCAAATGTTTATGTAAGATATTTTTTGTTTTTTTCCTGGGTAGGTGGCTGACTTTTAAGTTGGTATACATATGCCAGAGAGGACCAGTTTCCTGGTTTGCCCCAAACTGAGGATGCTCCCAGGACATAAAACTTTCAGTGCCCAACCTGGGAAAGTCCCTGGCAAACCAGGATGAGTGGGTCACTCTATAAGATGGGTTTTCTTTTGACTTTGTTTCGGTGTGAATTAAAGGTAAAATTAAACTCAACAACGGTTTTTTTGAGGACATAAAGGGCCCTAAGAACGGAAGATCAGCAAAAGAAATCTCTTCTCAGAGAGTTTTCTGCTTGGACTAACTGGTGAATCAAGTCCTCAGATAGCTGCAGGTCAAGGTGACCCAAGCTAAGAGCTATTGGAGCCCTTACATAGGCTGGGAGAATCAAAGGAAGGGACGGTCCCTTCCAAATGAGTAAGCTGCTCTCTGGCATTTCATTTTGAATTAAAAATAAAATACCCTTTTAGCTGGGCATGGTGGCCATGCCTGTGGTCCCGCCTACTTCGAGGCTAAGGTGGGAGGATCACTTGAGTCTGGGAGTTTGAGTCTGCAGTGAGCCAAGATCGTGCCACAGTTTAGTTCTGGCATGACAGAGTGCCTGATGACAGAGTGAGACTGTCTCAAAAAAATTAATACAAAAATATCTAAAGCTCAGTAATGCCATGCAAATAGCTCAGTGTTTCTTGTGTATCTAAGAAGACAAAAATATGTGAGTAAGCCCTTAGTCAGAAGTAGTTTGTCCACTGCATTCAAGATGAATCTTGGGCTTTATCGAAAGCTTTATTGTGCTTTATTGAAAACTTTGAAGCTGGAAACAAGTTGACATCTCTAATATATTTGTCTTCAGTACCAAGACTGTGTAGTAGCTTGAGGAAACAACGTCTGTAACATCTGAGAATGGGTCCAGGTTCAAGTACCTTTGAATGCGAGGAAAGAGAACTATGAGTTTGACCACAGTGAAGAGAAGCCAGGGTGGTAGAGTGCATGTATTTTTTTTATTTATTTATTTATTTATTTATTTATTTATTTATTTATTTATTTATGAGATGGAGTCTTGCTCTGTCACCCAGGCTGTGCAGTGGTGCAGTCTCAGCTTACTGCAACCTCCGCCTTCCATGTTCAAGCAATTCTCATGCCTCAGCCTCCCAAGTAGCTGGGACTATAGGTGTGCACCGACATGCTTGGCTAATTTTTTGATATTTTTAGTAGAGACGGGGTTTCACCATGTTGGCCAGGCTCGGCTCGAACTCCTGATCTCAGGTGATCTGTCTGCCTTGGCTTTCCAAAGTGCTGGGATTACAGGCGTGAGCCACCGTGCCCAGCCTGTGCATACCTTTAGACAGGAAGCCTCAGGAACCAAACCGTGGAGTCCCTTGGTTTAGTTTCAGGACAGGCAGGCCCTGATGTTGTTACTAACAGAAGGAGAGAGAATGGCTCAGTGCGGAACCTCTATCCTGGTTTTTGTCACAAAGGTGTGAAAAGCTGGCAATGGCCAGTAAGTAGAGGTTAAGGGCAGAGCCAGGCAGTCCTGATCGGAATCCTTTTCCCACTACTCTCTATTGTGTAATCTGGGGCAGTTTACTTCCTCCCTCTAAAATCCCATTTTCTTATCTGTAATCCAGGGCACAATTCCTTCACTATAGTTTAGTCATCAGGATTAAATGAGATAATGTAAAACAATTTAGCATAATTCCTGGTACAGGTGTCCAATACATAGTAGCTATGCATATTATCATTATCAACAATAGGATAGGCATTTCATTCAATTGCTGTGATGGATTAACATGTGTGAGTTCTTTCTCTTGTCAGTTTATGCAATCATTTTTTCCCCTGAACTAAAATCATTCTTTTATTGATATGTACTGTAATTATAAGAGCCATTTTCTAGTGGATGCATAGATTTAAGGCATAAAATATCCATTTGATAAATCTCTTAGGATTAAAATTTGACCTATGTTTAAAAAGGCTGATCCAGGATTTCTTCAGAAGTAACAGGCTTATTATTTTTCTGAGAGGGGGGCCTGGGTTTCCCCTGGGATGTAGTTTTTCCTCTCCTTCGTGGGCATAGGCGCACCCTGTGCCATCTGCTCTTCTGGGCTGAGAACCGGGATGGAAAGTGGGAGGCCTGCTCACTGCACTTGGGATGAGAGCCATGGATAGCCGTCGGGACACGTGAAAGAGTGACCGACAATGGGAGCAGCTGAAACAGAATCACCCTTGTTCACAAACCCACACCACCCGATTTGTTTTGCTCTCTCCTCTTCGGCAGCCGTTCCACTGACTTTTCTCCACTAGGTAAAGTCATCCTGGTATTGGGGATTAATCCTCCTCAAGGGCTCTGGTAGTGATGAGAGCATGAAGCAGATACCACTAAGGCAAAGTCTGTGCTCAAGGAGAAGAAAGACACATTGGAAGTACCTGCCCTGGGCTGCAAAGCAAATTTATGTCATGTCCTCCTTATTAAGAAGCTGGAAATTATACACCAGTCAGACAGTAAATGTCCTGAGTTCACCCTCATAGGGATGAATTCTGCTTTCTAAGACAATTCTTTTGGTTTCAAAGAAAACTAGCAATCGTTCAGTCTTTTTATTTTTATTATTTATTCATTTATTTTTTGAGATGGAATCTCACTCTGTCGCCCAGGCTGGAGTGCAGTGGCACGATTCCGGCTCACCATAACCTCCGCCTCCCGTGTTGAAGCGATTCTCCTGCCTCAGCTTCCCACGTAGCTGGGACTACAGGCGTGTGCCGCCATGCCCATCTAATTTTTGTATTTTTAGTAGAGACGGGGTTTCACTATGTTGGCCAGGCTAGTCTCGAACTCCTGACCTTGTGATCCACCCGCTGTGGCCTCCCTAAGTGCTGGGATTACAGGCGTTGAGCCACCGTGCCCCGCCTTGTTCAGTCTTTTTAAAATGACAACTTCTAACTGGGCTGAGTTTGACTCTTCTCTGTTAGAAGGCAAATACTGGCTGGGGGCAGTGGCTCACACCTGTAATCCCAGCACTTTGGGAAGCCGAGGCGGGCAGATCACGAAGTCAGGAGATCGAGACCATCCTGGCTAACAGAGTGAAACCCCGTCTCTACTAAAAATACAAAAAATTAGCCGGGCCTGGTGGCGGGCGCCTGTAGTCCCAGCTACTTGGGAGGCTGAGGCAGGAGAATGGCGTGAATCCTGGAGGCGGAGCTTGCAGTGAGCGCCGAGATCGCGCCACTGCACTCCAGCCTGGGGGACAGAGCGAGGCTCCGTCTCAAAAAAAAAAAAAAAAAAAAAAGAAGGCAAATATTTATGCTTGCCTCCTCCCAGAAAACAACATTAAGCAGTTAATAGTAAATCAAGTGTCCTGGACAAGCCATGTGAACGTCAGCTGTGTTTACAGCTGGGGTTCAAGGGGCGTGACAGAAGTCTATTTGCATAAGGTGCTAGGGAGCCTCATGGGCGAGGACTCCCCTTAAGTGAGGTAGGAACCAGCCTCATGAGCCTAATCCTCAAATGAAGCTCAAGTAAGTTGTTAGGAGGAACATGCCTTGAACATATTCTACCTCAAACGCACAGATGGGTGAACAAAATAAAACAAAGAGCTAGAAAAAAGCTGACAAAGTCGCTATTCCAATAGAACTCCCTATGGACCATTCTACTGAAGGGAAAGCCCAGGAGCTGGGGAACTGCTCAATATTTACAGTTGAGATGTGGGTACAGTTGAATTGTGGTTGGTAGTTTTGAGGAGAGCAGTTTTGACATGTAGCAAACTTGCAGTTCACATCCACAGAATAAATGTCGTGGGTTGGATTCTTTGGGAAGTAGTCAGCCACATCACAGCTCAACTTCTCCTTCTGCCCAATCCTTTCCCAGTAGGCGTCAATCCCAAAAGGCTAAGTCTTTGTCTACAAACGCCAAAGTTAATGCTTTTGGGATGAACGCCTACAGGGGAAGGATTGGGCAGAAGAAGAAGTTGAGCTGTGATGTGGCTGAACTCCCAGGAGCTTTGCAGCTGGCCCAGCCCTTTGGAGTTGTCCCCACTTGGGCTTGGAGGCTGGAGTTTTATACTCCTATATCCACCAGTCATTGAATGCAGATTGGGAACAGCCCTCAGCTGGCTAAAGACAACCATCTCAACCAAGGTCTTGGCCACTTCCCAGGGTCAATCTGCATTCAATGACCCTGGAAAGTGGGCAAGATCTTGGCTGTGATGGTTGTCTTTAGCCAGCTGAGGGTGGTTCCCAAAGGGCTGAGAGCTGAGGGTTGTTGGAGGGCAGGGTGCCCAGCAGCAGTGGGAATGACTTCTCCAGCCCTGAAGCTGGGATTTGGGTCGTACAGCACTGTCTATTACAAAAGGACTACTTATCTTTTGAGAGACTAGTAGAATGTACTGAAGTACTGCTGACTTGGGGAAATAGATGTCAGTGTGGATTTTCAAAGCAAACTATAGTAACCCACACATCTGGGCATAAGGGACTACCTTGGTTTAAAGCTTAAGTGAAGTAGCAACAGGCTTTATGAGCCGAATCCTCAAATGAAGCTTGAGTAAGTTGTTAGGAGGAACATGCCTTCTCCAGCAGTTGGAGAATCAGGAGGTCACAGGACCCACTGTTCGTTACAGGGCCGTGCTACCAAACTTAAACCAAGTCAGACTAAAATGACTTGTTTTTTTTTTTTTGGTTCTCCCATTCTGAGAAGAGTGTTCCTTTTTCTCATACTGTGGTAAATAGTAAGTACTCTGTGTACTTCTAAGGTTGTATGGTGCTACAGTCATAATAACAGTAAGAATAATCACAACCATAAGCAACATTTATTGAGTGGTACTATGTGCCAGCACTCTTCTAAATGCTTTACTTACAATTATATATTTGAAGGTCAAGTCCCTTTGTAATGGATGGTGCTGTGCCACCCAAATCCTACCATAACCCCTATGACATGGGTCATTTTATTACGCTCACTCTCAAGATGAGGAAACTGGGATACAGGGAGTTGAAATCGCTCTCCCATGGCTACATCGCCAATAAGTAGCAGTGCTAGGTTGCAAACTCAGGCATGAAAAGCAAAAGGGAAAAGGTTAGAATCAAAGCAAAGTGTTCTTTAAAAGAGATGGTCCCTGATGCCTTGAGAGCTGGTCACGTAAGGTTTCCCAAGCAATGGCAGTGGGCATGACCAGCTGTCCTCTGCTGAAGTGGGCATGCTGTAGAACTGTGTCTGATCTATTCACAGCTACATCTCCTACTCTAGCCCCCTACCTGGCTCCTGGGGAAGCAGAGTCCCTTCGAAGCACTCAAAGAGAAATGTAATGAAGGATTAAATGAATGTACCAGAAGGATTGTTTTTAGAGTTAACACCCTGGGCAATTTACTTATTCTCTCCTGGCCTTGGTTTTTTCATCTATAGAAAGTAAATGATGACGGAGGGGTGGCATAAGTTTTGATCTATCATATAGTCTTGCGTAGCATTAACTCCCAATAAATAGAAGCTATTATTATTATTATTATTTCTCTCTACATGCTGGAGGGTGATAGTTGGCTTAAAAATTGCAAAGAAGAACTAAATATCTCATTCTTTTAGTCAACTTTGGAAGGCTTGACTACATTATCTCTAACGTTCTGTCTTAAAAGTAAGTATGGAATCCTAGATTTTGATGTTTTTTCAGGCACAATTTTTCAACAAAATAATTTGTACCAAAGTAAAAATGGAATTTCTCACTTCCATCCTGCCCTACTCTGTCCCCTTCCAATATTTTCCAGGCACGTCTTGTTTTTATTACCCCTGCATTAACAGATCTACTTCAAGGAGCTCACCATGACCCAGGAAATGGAGGCTGACCAAAAATGGAGGAGAAGAGAGGACAAAGAGACATAAAAGGAATTTTATGTTCTTTTTAAGGAGTCATTAAAGTAGCATAAAATAAAAAACCTTAAAATGCCACACAATGTCTTGTTTAGATAAGACTCAGGAAAGGTTTTCTATAGACATGGAGAAGGCAGAGGCAGCCTGGTTTTGACAGTTAACCCTGGGGTAGAATTGTGCTCAGAGGTCCTGTCAGTCAGCATTCAGTGGCATGCAGGAGAAACCACTTCAGTTATTTCATGCAGAAGAAGATTAAATCATGGAATGAGGGTGGATGGACTGGAGGAGCAGGTCCCAGGCTGGCCCTCCCCCAGCTACTAACAGAAGGACAATTCAAACCCGGCCTGGCAAAGGAACTCAAACTGGACGCAACCAGGAAGTTGGAGAATCAGGAGGTCATGGGGCCTATTGTTGGGTACAGGGTTATGTTACCTTAGCTGTGCATCTGGAATCAGGAAATCACTGCTTCCACTGCTGGCTCAGAAACATACCACCCAGGCTGAAGTCTAGGGATCAGGAAACTGGCTCCAACATGATGGACTCTGGAGCCATGATTTGCCTGCTAAAGCTGTGCCAGCAAGATAAGTATCTCCCTTCCCACTTACACTAGCTTGAATTGGGGTCTTGCTCAAGTGCGTCTTCAGGTAAGTTAGGAAAAATGTGGTTTGTATTTTTCTAGCTTCTGCAGTGCAGAAAGACATGCCAGACATGTTGGAGTGGATGTTGAGCAAACCCGTCTACGATTTCTACTACTATAGTTTACCCAGTGGAAAATTAAAAGATTGGGATGGTGTCAGTTCTTCTTTTCTATTCTGCGTGTTGTTGTATGTAAGTGGAAGAATAGAATAGAAGTGTTTGTAATCAGAAACTACACAACATTCACCTTATCTTGATCCTCTGACTAATTTCAGTTAACCATAACACAGAACCTGAATTATTAGGACTTTAGTATAAAGTCCAGCCCGTTGCTAGTACCAAGTATGCTTAGAGAGCGAAGGCAACTTAACTTAAATGTTAGAATATCATTGGAAAATGTAGTCCCAGTCCTTTAAAACTGTTTGTAAAACCCATACCCATTAAAACCCCATTAAGAAATAAATAACAACTCATATTCTCTCTCACATACAAGCATATTTAATAACATTGAATTTAATGGAGCTGTTTATTTTGTAATACACTTAGAGAATCATCACTTTTCTTGTGGCCATGGTCAAATAAGTGCCCGAATTGTTTTTCCTTAGACTCTTTGGTTGCTGCTGGATGCTTGGATCATAACCAACTCTCTTTTTGACAAGAGCAGCAGACAGCAGTCATGTTTGAAGCCTATTTGACCAATACAATGGCCTGCAATTTCTGTGAGGTCAGGGACGACATCTTTCAACCACTTCTTGCCCCCAACCCCCTGCCACAATTAATGCTGTTTTTCTAGCACCATAGACATAGCAAGTGTGCAATAAATGTTTGACTATTTTTTAAATGAATGATGAAATGCATGAATGCATAATTGCTAAATGGATCACATGTTCATTTTTAATTGTGATGAAACAATGGGAAATGTAACAGGAGTTTTCTCATTTGGAAGAAAAGCATTTTGATTTAACATTTTAAAAGTAAGAATGCTTATGAAAACAGTTCCTGGATATCATAGTTAATTATTTTCCTCCTGAGGGTTTTATTCCAGACCAGATCTGATTTTAAATGAGATTCACGTGGTGATTATAACTTGGTTTTCTCTTTCCCTGCTGCTGTGGCCGCGGCAGAAAGAACATATTCTCCCAGGAGCTTTCTTACTCTAGGCTTCTCTTCAAGCACTTAGCACACTTCTCATGCATTCCTAGATCTCGTCATTCAACCCAGAATGACTATTTCCTTAGCATTTCTCACCTCTCCGGAACCCTCATCAATGCTATCTTTTCTGACCTTTACAAAGAGCAGTAGGCAAAGCAAAACTTTCCTCCGCAAATTATAAACTGCAAATTATTTTTCCCAGTGAGCCTGCAACGAATGACCCAGAATAGTATTTCATGATAGGAATTTCCAGACTGCATTATAATTATAAAGTCAAATACTTTTCTTTTGTATGAGACTTCTGAGGAGCAAAGACGTGAGTTCCAAGCATTCTGTTCTCATCAAGTAATTGTTACATCATTGTGTAATTTGTGTGCCTAAAGGAATGTGATAGATTACTAGGTAAAAAAGACCAGCAATTATTTCATCACTTACCCATTCCAAAATTATTTTTGAGCACCTGCATCCCAGGAACTGTTTCAGTGGCTGGAAATAAGCAGAGAACAAAACAGGCAAAATCCCTGTAAGTCCTCACAGGACTTACATTCTAGTAGGGAGATGTATTCAATAAATACATACATATATAATAAATATGATGTCAGGTTTGGTCATTGGAATGAAGAAAAATAAAGCAGCACAAGGTAGTAAGGGATGATATTTAAGCCGATAACAATGTGAAAGAGAGTGTTCCAGGAATGGGGAGCAAGTGCAATGGTGCTGGTACCAAGATGAACATGGCCCTAATCACCACTTAATAAGCAAGAGCAGGAAGGGGCATGGCTGGGGGGCGGGGGATGGGGGGGCAGATAGGCCATGATAAGGAATTTGGATTTTTTTGGAGGTACCTGTGTGATGAAAAGCCAAGAGAGTACTAATAGCAGGGGCTCAACATGATCTAATTTATATGTTGAAAGGATCTCTCTGCTACTGTATGGAAAACACACTGCAGGTGAAGTAAAGTGGAAGCAAGTCAACAATTGGGGGCTTGGCCGGGTGCGGTGGCTCATGCCCGTAATCCCAGCACTTTGGGAGGCCGAGGGGTGTGGATCACCTGAGGTGAGGCGTTCAAGACAAGCCTGGCCAACATGGCAAAACCCTTTATCTACTAAAAATACAAAAATTAGCTGGGTGTGGTGGTGGGTGCCTGTAATCCCAGTTACTTGGGAGACTGAGGCAGGAGAATCGCTTGAACTCAGGAGACAGAAGTTACAGTGAGCAGAGATTATATCACTTGCACTCCATCCTGGGTGACAGAGCGAGACTCTGTCCCAAAAATAAATAAATAAATAAACAAACAGTTGAGGGCTGTTGGAGTTATCTGATCATCTGCACTAGAGCACTGGCTGTGGGGGTGTTGAAAAGTGGTTGTGGAACTATACTCAATAAAATTTGGATTTACATTAAAAATAGTGACAATCTGATTTTCATTCCTGCTATGTTGTGGACATTATAGGAAGACATGGACTCAGGTAAGTAGAGGAATTTAGTTTAAAAGCAGGAAAAAGGGTGGCGAGAACAAATTCTGCATTGGCTAGATGGAGATAATGTTGGAATAACTTTCTCTGAGATATTCTAGAAAAAGGAAGTATTGAGGATTTAAAGGAAGAAAATATTCCAAGTAAAAGTAACTGTATATTCTTCAGTGTTAAAAAAAAATCCCAGTGGCAAGTTGTTAAAAAGCAACATGGCATTTCTCTTTTTCCTTTCTGTAATAGACTTTATTTTTTAGAGCAGTTTTAGGTCACAGCCAAATGAGAGGAAGTTACAGAGATTTCCTATGTATCCCCTGTACCCACACCTGCATAGCGTTTCCTGCTTCCTGTGTCTGCCAACAAAGTGGTACATTTCTTACCACTGATGAACCTACACTGACACATCATTATCACCTGAAGACCATAGTTTACATTAGGGTTCACGTTTTATGTTATAATGATATGTTTTGTTAGCAAAATTTCTGCTCACTTGGGCTCCTTCCTTTCATCTCCTTTTAAACTAATTACTTAGCAGGAGATTAGATTTCTTAAAGTACATCATCAGAACTTTGTCAAGGTTACAAAGGAAGAATAGGTTCACATACATGTCTAAAAAAGTTGAGAAGACAGAAAAAATCCAATTGATTTGTCAAAGAACTACATAAGCTTCTGAAATAGAAAAAAATTCTAGAAAAAGCTGAAGCTTCAAGGACAAATACCTGTAGAAAGGTTTATAGAAGTAAGGTCAGAATTACTAAAGCAGGAAATGAGATGCAACTTCCAAAGGTGAAATAGAGTATTTCTTTTTTTTCTACTCTATCAGGAGCAAGAAAAGACTAGAATGGAGTGTTGTCCTTTGATTAGATAGGAAAGAAAGAGACTCACTGATGACATCAAAAGGCCACAGGGCATTCAATGTCTTTTTTAAAAACCTTTCTGCATGATCAAGTGAATGGGCTCTGGAAATGGGTAATGCATACTTTAGGAAAATGAAAAGGGAAAACGAAGACTTGGAGGGAGATAATTTAAATAAGTGAGATCTGTAAATGTGCAGGCCCTGATGATTTGCATTCAAGGGTACGAAAAGAATTGGCTAAAGTATTGTGGACCATAAATTGAATATGAGTCAGCAGTTAGTAAGGCTGTTATTTAAAAAAGGGAACATTATTGAGAGATGGATTAACAGGAGTATGACATGAAAAGGGCAAGGATATGTTCTTGAATACTTGGCATTGCCAACCATTATTTAGAATATAATTACCAATTTTGGTCCCTGTATATTAAAGGAGAATCACAAAATGATGAATGAAACAAAAAGTAAGTGAGGAATTCCAATGGCTGTGATAAAAAGTTAAATTCTCCATTTTTATGTTATCTTAGTTAAGAGTACCAACTTCCTGCTCGTACTGACTCAGAACGCCTAGAATTTGCCTTTTAAGTGATCTCTGTCTAAGTAGCCATATCTTTAGGTTAAAGGAAGTGGGCTTGCTCCTTTTTGGAAAAGAGGCAGCTAGTGTATAAGAAAGATTATTGTGAAAACCATTCTGGCTAATTGTTCTTCATATAGGAGGGAGTTGGTATATATTGGAACTAAGAGAATTAGACCAAAAACAACAACAAAAAATATCCCCAAACCCTAAACTAATAGTGATTAAATACCAGAACTGAGTGCTAGTTTTCTCTCAAATCCTTAGCATAATAACTCAGGATCCCTATGTATACACTATTTGCCTGTGTTGTCATAGAACCCTCTGTATCTTAACTCGGTGGAAGGGCAATGTTAAGAGTTGTGATAAACAGGTGCCCATTTCAATGGGAATTCTGGTGTGATGTCAGAATTGCTCAGTTGGCAAGATTTGTTTTCTATTCTCCCTAATTAGCCTTCAATTGTCTCCTTTTCCTGCAGACCCACCCCAGGACATCTCCTTCCCGGATGCACAGGTCACTTAGGTGGCCTCTTCCTGGCAGTTCAGGGCCCTCCTGCTGGCTCTCTTTGGTGTTTTCCCCCAGGCTGCTTTCTCTGTGATGTCCCTCTATGCTTGGGCTCCCCTTCCTCACAGACCTCTCAGAACTTACCTTTCCTCTCACCCATTGCCTAGGGTCCTTTACTTGGCACTCCAAAATGACAGTTTATGAATTCTGTAAACTTATTTGAAACGGGTTAATGGTGGTTTTCCAGTGTCTCTTAGGTACTGAGTGGCACTGTGGGACTAGTGGTATGGGGGAGAACATTTTAGGTGGTGGCATATGGACGTGACATTACATAACATTGAATCACGTAGAGTGAAAATTATTTCGTTTTCAATTTCTTCTCAAGTCTTTCTGATTCAGTCAAGGATAAAGTTTCATTTTGGTGCTAGTGTGTTTTTAACCCTTGAAAATTGCTCATCTCCCTTTTAAATAAAGCAAGTGTAGCCTTCAGGCTCAAAGCCTTGGGGGCTAGAATAATTTCTTAGACTGCTTTTTGTATTTAGGTATAATATACACACTAGAAGAGGCATAAATAAAAATGTACACTTTGATTAATTATATTAGCTAGAATTTAAATTTATTTCTTTGTTCTCATTGCATTTATTTACACAGTTTCCTTTTATTTATGCTAGTGATACTGGTTTCTAGGACGGTGATTTAAAAAAAGTTTTATAAAGAAATTTATTAAGGAAAAAAAGAGTTGATTTAAGGAGAAAATATTGCTGAATTTCACTGTTTTTAAAGGTTCACATTGTGCTCCACTATTATTTTAACCTTTCTGAAATCATGACACAGCATGCAACTTACAATGTCCATGAACTAGGTCAGGCAAAGTGCTTAGAGTGGTGTAGAATCTTTAGTTGATACTTGTGGTTAAATCAAGAAAGGTCAACATCAGAGCGTTTTGGATTCAATGAAATATGATAAAAATACTACAGGTAGTGTTGCAGAACTTTGCTCCTTAGTTCAGCTGAAACTGGGTTCCTGTCACAGGACCACGAAGGATTAGGAACACAGACTCATTGAAGGGTGAGGGGAACAGAATTTATTGGGCAAAAAAAGGAAAAGAAGAAGAAGAAAAGACTCCCAGCAAAGTGAGAGGGAGTCCTGCTAACAGGCCCCCAACGTCACAGATTGATTCCAGGTCACACACATGAGCTGAAGAGGCCAGGCTCCTCCCCGACCACACGGTAAGAACTTCCTGTGGCACCACCCTGTTCTCCCAGTGCGCAGGCGGTGGGAGATTCTCTGGGGACCCTCCCCCTTATCTGCTCCTGCACCTATCAGCAGTACTCCCATATAGAGAAAAATGGGGCTGCGGTGTGCAAATACCTGAAGTTTGGGAAATAGTAGCTTAGTGACCTACCCTTCCCATCTGATGCCTTTGCATTTTAATAGGGGTTCTCTAGAGTTGGAATGATGTGGCCCCAAAGAACCCTGTGGCAAGGTTGTGGTGGGTATTGGGAAATCCTGGGGGCGTGTGTGCAAGTGAGCTTTATTTTGGATCCCCTCAATGTTCCTTGTGATATAGGAGTTAAAAAGAAATTATTTAGGCAGATAGTGAGGGTAAGGAAGTCCTCAGTAACGTTTCCCTTTTAATGAAAAGCAGCCCCCAAATAATTTCTTTTCTAACAAAAAGCAACTTGTAAAATTGGGTTGCAAACGTAGATAAGCAAGCTGGAAGCTTGCACGGGTGAATGCCAGCAGCTGTGCTAATAGGAAAAGGCTACCTGGGGACCAGGCATGTTCAATATGGAGGCTCCATCTTCCCTTTTATCAATCCCATATACCCTAAGGAGCTGACAACATGGCGCGGCCATGTAAAAAAATCGATTTGCATAATAAAAGATTAGCGGGGGATGGGGGTGGCCAGCTTCTTCCAGTGCTATGTAAATGTCACACCTGGTCCAACCAATCTTTGGGCCCTATGTAAAACAGACACTGCCTCCTCAAGCCAGTCTATAAATCCCCGTGCTCTTTACCACCGGACCAGAGGACCCACTCAGGTGCCCGTCTCTGCAGGAGAGCGAGCTATTCTCTTTTCTCTTTCTTTTGCCCATTAAACCTCCACTCTTAGCCTCACTCCACATGTGTCTGTGTCCTTAATTTCCTTGGCATGAGGCAATGAACCTTGGATATTACTCCAGACGAATGACGCTGCCTCACTTGCGTATGAACCCTCTGTGTCTCTCCCTAAGGCCTGCGTGGCCCTTTGTGACATATATGTTATCCTTGCTGAGAAACTTTTGGGTGTCACGTCTCAGGCTGCAGGCTTACAAATTATAAGCAAATCAGCTTTCAGCTCTAGAACATTGTTACACTGGAATATAGACCAATATCTTTGAACATCAGATATCTGTCCTTAGACTTTCCCCAGCACGTTGATGACCCACTGTGATGCCTTCTGCCTAGGAGCCTCCAAACACATATTTTTTAAAGAAATGAAGGAAGGAAGCCTACCCTTGCCCTTCCACTGGAAGACCCCAGGTATGGCTGTACCGTGTGGCCTGAGCAGCTAGGGGCCAGGAGCAGCCCGCGGTTGGCTCTCCTAGGATCCTCTGCTGTGCTGGAAGCAATTGCTGTGCATTTGTATGGCACACCATTTGCATACTCTAACGAGATGGGCTATAATTGGCCTTCATTGATTTTGTTTTCATTGAGCTAAAATAGAGTCAGAGCTTCTTAGGCTAGAAGAACTGATTGATTTGTGGTAGAATTCAGGACTATTCAGTTGAAGAAATAATTAATTATGTTCTTATTTAGTAATCATCAGGGTTCAGCCTGTTTCTTAGCAGGAGAGTGTGCTCAGCAGAATTGGACTTTGCCAAGGCAAGGATGCTTTAAAATAAGTACTTTAGCCAGGCAGATGGATACCACACAAAATACTCATTATTATTATTATTATTATTATTAAAGGAACTGTGCAGATTGAAGACAACCAATCTCTATGTATATGTAGAGAACAAGAGACATGCATTATTTCTTTCTTCATCTTCCTTCTCACATGAGCATACTGCCCATCCATTAGTCTCTCTCCCTATGCATTTACCCATCCATGCATCTATCCATGTGTTCTTGAATCCATCCACACATCTTCCAACATTTTATAAGTTCACTGTGAGTTAATTCAGTCTGGGTGAATGATAGCTTCCACCTTTGTCTTCTATTTCTCAGATCTGGGAGTTGCTTCAGATTGGCCCCAATCTTAGAGAAATAGACAAGGGAATTTCAGCCTGGAGTGATCACCCCGAAGTTTGGAATACTTAAGCAAGCATGGGTATTCAATAGGCCATCCTGTGCAGATAGGGAAGCTTGGAATTTTTAACTGATTGTGATTCGAGTGTTTCTAAATGGTTTAGTCTCATGTCAATCTCTCCCTTTTAAATTTTTTTGAAATTATTGTTTATAGTTGTTGGATATAATTTGTCCCTATTAGAATAGTTCTATTCTTTAAATTGAGGCCATATATCTTTTGAGGAACAAGGTATAGAAATAAATAAATTATATATAATATATGTATATATTTATACATATAAACAATATATATAAATATAGTTTCTATCTGTATCAGACTCTCCTTTCATTCGGTAGATGTTTATTGAGTGGCTCGATGTGTAAGGCTTTATGGTAAGTGTTGTAAGGGATACAAAGATGAATAATACACTACTGCTCCTCTAAAGCATCTTACAAGTCAGCATAGAAATATTTGTCAAAAATTCATTTGTAAGCCATTATTTGGAGATTCGTAGTCAATGTTATATATAGTCCATAGCCCAGCTCACAAAAATCTGTTCATGTATTAGGTTGAACTATATGAAATTGCCAATGTCTGACCATTTTTATCCTACAAAATGGCAACTTAATATATTTCAACCTAGTATATGTGAAGCAATGTACCTTACTGAAGTTAAAACCAAGAGTAACTAGTGACCGTAAATTGTGATGATTATTTGGGGAAAATGTGTCCAGAAATCTATTTCTTTTTATTGAAGGAATAGAAATGAAACAAGGAACCACTTTCTGGATGGATGTTCCCATTTTGAGGGATAGTTGAAAAAGGGGTTTGCCTAACTGCTTGCCTGGGGCACGAATCCCCATAAAGAGGATGAAGTAGTGGGAATGCAAAGGAGGACAGAGAAGAGCAGGTAAAAGTGGTTCAGGGAGGGCTGGGATCTCCTGGTGGTATAACGAACCGGTGATGCCCTATGACTGGATTGTCACTACTGCCATCTCTTGTACCAGAACTGCTTTGTGACTGCTATGATTCACACTGGCAGAATGGACGCCCATGCACTGTTTCTTTCTTAAGTCCTGCAAAGCTAAGTGACAGGGTCTTCTGCTAATGCAGCCATGAAATAATCAAATCCAATAAAACCCATGATGGTGCGGCCCACAACAGTGCAAGTGTGGATATAAAGTGACTGGCAGCTATCACCCAGTCTGCTCTGTTTATGAATGGAAGTGGGCTGAAGTTCCCATTTTCTCTTGGGGAAGATGGGGCTAGGTGGGAAGGGGTAAGGCCAGGCAGGGCAAGCTAGGTAAGCCTACCTTGAGAAGTTGGGATGCATCACTGATAGTCTCCCCATCCCAGACTCTCTGGATAGGGCTGACAAAGATGAGCCTTTCTGGAAATACTGCCACTGTCTGGGGAGTATCATTGGGGTTAAAGCTGGAGAAACAATCGCCACTGTTGACCACAAGCTGAGCAGGGACACAACAAACTTTAGGTGTGCAGCTAGAAACTCAGAGCTTCCCAGCTGGCTAGCTGGGTGGGCTTGCTCCAGTCACTACATTAATCTCATGAAAACACCAGCCTGCATTTTTGGTGATGAGAAATTTTGGACCAAGTTATCACATCAGGAGGCAATTTTGTTGAATCTCCATAATGGGTTTATCCTCAGAAAGGGTAGAAATGGCAGAAGAAAGCAGTAACATGACTTCCACTCACTTCCACCTTCCAGATATTGCACCAGTTCATTGAATGGGTCAAACCAAAACCACATCTAGAAGTCCAAGTGTTTGTAAAAACTGTGCTTTTTAGCTTTTCTGGCTTTGCAGTAAAGGAAGACACACAAAGAGGCGGGTGGAATGGATGTTGAATGCCTACTCATAGCATCTACCAGAGTGATTTCAATTTTATAAGGATTTTTAATCCTAGCGACCTCTTCCCTACTTATGACCACGACTCTTATCAGTTCTTTTGCAACTCATTTCTGGTAAGAAAAGGTGGCAGAGATGGGAGCTAACAATGAGTTTTCAGATATATGCAAAAAACTGAAGATTCGTTTATAACTCAGAGGAAAACTTAGACTCAGTCTTCTAAGCACTTTTTCTTCCAAGTGGGACTAGGCGGTGGTTCTGGGGAGTGGTGTGGGAAAGGAGCAGGACTGGGCTGCCACCTGGGACTCCAGGGTTGGGCAGAGGTAGGAAGGGAGAAGCCTGAGGGTTTAGATTTTTCCCTTTCTCTCTTTTTCCCATTGCCACATCAGTCTGTAGTTGGCTGTGAGACGATGACTGAAGAGAAGCACTCATGCTGGGGATGGGCCTGAGTTTTATTTCCTATTTTTTATGTAGCACTGAAAAAGTTTGCAAATTCTTTTTCTAGGGTTGAAAATGCTTTATTTTATTTTATTTTATTTTTTAAAGTTCCAGGGTACATGTGTGGGATGTGCAGTTTTGTTACATAAGTAAAGGTGTGCCATGGTGGTTTGCTGCACCTATCAACCCATCACCTAGGTATTAAGCCCAGCATACATTAGCTCTTTTACAAGAGTAAAAATGATAAACAGAGTAACTGTAAACAGCGAAGATGAAACTTCAGTTGCTGTCTCGGTTGGGCTGAGTTCTCTTTGCTTTCACACATGACTTGTGTGTTGTTCATTGCACAGTTCTTTATCACTTGGTAGACTAAAATCTTAGCCATCTTCAGTTTTTGACTGAGACTTTTCTTTTGGTAATTGATTTATTTGAGGAGAATGAAATACAAAGTTTCTTCATTTTCTCCTAACAATTTTTCACTAACTATGCCTCCTCACATCTGCTTCCCACCAGCTTCTTTGGGTGATGGTGTAGAACCTAGGATATCATCATAAGCCAATTGGTGGTTCCTGAGTCCTTTCTTCAATTTGGAATCACATGGATTTGGAATCTTAACTGATTTACAGGCCAAAGTTATTCTATAGGCTCTTCAGATGAAATATAGCCTATTTACAGAATGGATGAATTTATAAAAATTGGAGCTTGCAGAGGATACATAGGTGTAGCCTTTGTTCTGTGTGAAGGGTCACATCTTCCAGGAAGCTTTTCTCATCCTCTTCTGCCAGATAGATTGATCTTCCTTCTTCTGTACCCTCTTCCCCACTGAGCTCTGTACATTTTGCTCTTGGGTATCTATAACACATTAGTAATCTTATTGTCTTAACAGCTCTGCCTTCTTTCCACTACCCTGCAAGCCCCTTAAGAACTGGGGCCTTGTTTTATTCATCTTTGTTAGATATAGAGTGTCTAACAAAATCCTCACATATAGTAGATGCTTAGGGAATAATTTTTGAGTGATTGAATAAATGGTAGCCCTGTTAGGGAGATACTAAAAATAATGAATTTATTGTTTTTATACAAATGAAGGCCGGGTGTGGTGGCTCATGCCTGTAATCCCAGCACTTTGGGAGGCCAAGGCAGGTGGATCATTTGTGGCCAGGAGTTCGAGACCAGCCTGGCCAACATAGTGAAACCCTGTCTCTACTAAAAAAATACAAAAATTAGCCAGGCATGGTGGCACATGCCTGTAATCCCAGCTACTCGGGAGGCTGAAGCAGGAGAATAGTTTTAACCTGGGAGGTGGAGGTTGCAATGAGTGGAGATTGCACCACTGCACTCTAGCCTGGGCGACAAAGCGAGAGAGACTCTGTCTCAAAAAAAACATGCTTATCATAAAATTCCAGAAAAACAAAAAAATACAAAATAAAAGGGTTAGATAATCACAAATTCCACTGTCCAGAAATAACCATTGTCAAAATTGGTTATGTTCATATTTCCAGATTTCAAAACAAAAGTGATGCTGACTTATATAGTGACAATGTCTAGACTAGACTAGTGGGAGTAAATAAAACTGCAGACTTATTACAGACTCAAAAATACTTTGAATACTTTTGAATACTTAGGCATAGTACTATATAAAACTCCCCAATTTTTGTAACCGGACCTCTTGCTGAGAAAATCAGCACGTGGACCAAAAATAAAGATAATATATTTTTCTTAGATATTGGAACTACTAATATGTTTATAGTTATTTTGTACTGATGACCATGTGTTGCAACTCATTTAAATGCTACATTTCTTAATATCAAAGAATTAAGAAGTTTTAAAAAATTAGTCTACCCTTTAAAAAAACCCAGCCATTTTTCATATAAGGAGGAATATTAGTAGAGAGTTATAAAGGATGGTAATTTTGTCTGTATCATTCATTCATTCAGCTCAACCTAGACTGAGTGTGATGGTTAATACTGAGCGTCAACTTGATTGGATTGAAGGATGCAATATTGATCCTGGGTGTGTCTGTAAGGGTGTTGCCAAAGGAGATCAACGTTTGAGTCAGTGGGCTGGGGAAGGCAGACCCACCCTTTATCGGATGGGCACCATCTAATCAGACACCAGTGAATATAAAGTAGGCAGAAAAACGTGAAGGGATGAGACAGGCCTAGCCTCTCAGCCTACGTCTTTCTCCAGTGCTGCATGCTTCCTACCCTCTATCATCAGACTCCAAATTCTTCAGTTTTGGGACTCGCACTGGCTCTCCTTGCTCCTTAGGCTACAGACAGCCTATTGTGGGACCTTGTGATCGTGTAATTTTATACTTAATAAACTCCCCTTCATATATATATTATATTAGTTCTGTCCCTCTAAGAGAGCCCTGACTAATACATTGAGTATCTTCTATATTCTAGGCATTGTCGTAGGGGATACACTTGCAAATAAATTTTGATTCTTGAATATATTTTTTTCCTTTATTATTAAATCCATAGGAAGTCTATATTACTTTACTTTGGAATATTTTATTGAGAAGGGAGATTATAAAGCTGCCTTAACCCTGAGGTGACCAGATATCCTGGAGTGATAGGACCACAACTAGGTAACATCATTTTGCCTCAAGAGGTTGACTTTCACTCATGTTTGTGGCTATGCACTACACCACATACCTCTCAAGCACTATACTTTTAGCTGATTTTGGCCTAAGGTTTTATCAGAGGTTCTGATTACATTTTAATTTAGTGATTTTTCTACCATTTTAGTAAATATTTCTTAGAAGCTTAGAACCTCATGTACCCCCTAAGATGCAGTGTGGCATAGTGCCAGAAAAACAACCTGGCGAGGAATCAGATCTGGCTCTTCAAGAGCAGATCCAACAAACATTTCTTAGGATCTGTCATGTGCCAGACATGGAATTCAGCACTTTTGCATACACCTTCTTTTAAAATCCTCACAATAACCCTGAAGGTAGATATGATTATAATCATTTTACTGTTGGAGTTAGTCGCAGGTAAGGAGTATGTTTCTCTGGGTTTGAGTCCTAGTTTTATTATTTATTGTGTACCTGTGTGACTTAAAGAAGTTTCCAAAGTTTCTCTTCTTCAGGTTTCTTAAATTAGGCAACAGTATTAGCTTCTAGGGTTTGGGGGAAGATTAGATGAATTAAGCAAGTTAAATATATAGAGTGGTATCTGACCCACAGTAAGCACTAAGCAAATATAAGCTGTTTTTGTCCATGATGAAGCTGTTTGCAGGTGGTGCTTGCTAGCTCTGCTACCTTGGGCAAATTATTAGCCTTTTTTTTTTTTTTGAGGCAGAGTCTCGTGCTGTCTCCCAGGCTGGAGTGCAACGGTGCGATCTCGGCTCACTGCAACCCCTGCCTCCCAGGTTCAAACAATTCTCCTGCCTCAGCCTCCCGAGTATCTGGAATTACAAGTGCCCACCACCACACCCAGCTAATTTTTGCATTTTTAGTAGAGACGGGGTTTCACCATGTTGGGCAGGCTGGTCTCAAACTCCTGACCTCATGACCCGCCTGCCTTGGCCTCCCAAAGTGCTGGGATTACAGGTGTGAGCTACTGTGCCCAGTCTATTAGCATTTTTGAATCTACAGCATCATATTTTAAAAGCTTTGTAGCATTGTTGGAAGACTAAGAAGAGTATACTTAGTGTGAAACTAAACAGTGATGCATTATGTAATTATATAGGATTAGGAGTAAATTTTTGATTATTTAGCATATCCTTGTTATTAATCCCATTTTCTAGTTTTTCTTGAAAACTCTATCTAAATATTCTAGCAAAGGAGACAAGTGCTCTAGGACTCACTCATTTTTTTCTCAAATTGTCCAAGCTCCTTTTTGCTAAGTTCTCAAAAAATGCAATTTCAGTTTTATCTTTTGACCTCTAATACATGTTATTAATTTTGACCAGGGAATAGGAAAGGCTTTATGAGTGGATAAGACATGTAATAACTATTTTTTTATAATAGACTTTAGTTCAGTAGTTCCTTGGGATGTATTATAATAGCAACCTATGCTGATAATTAGCACACTTTTCAAAAAGCTTTCATTTCCTTTACAACAACCTTCTAAGGCGTGTGGGCATGGGTTGTCATGCCCACTTTACAGATAAGAAAGCTGCGACTCCTGAACTATAAGTAACTGCCTAAGATTTCATCTAGGAGATTAATGTTAGAATTGTTCTCCCAGCTCATAATCCATAATACTATATATATCATTGTTCAGCATAACAACATCAATTTCTGGGCTGTGTTTTGATTGTTGTGCAAAAGTAATGTTTAACTTAATTTTCACTATAACCCTACATGGTAGATAGTGCCTCCATTTTATAGATGTGAAACTGAGCCCAAAACTTGCAACACTGCAATGCAATTCTGATGCTAACTGCCCAGAGTCAGTGCAGATTTCACAGGTTGAGGGCACAGTACCCGATAAGACTGCCTTCACTTTAGATGGCAGCTGCAAATTTTGGGGTCCTTTGGTCATTTGTGCTTTTGATCAACTGGCTCCAAATTTGGGGGATCCCATGACCCTTTCAGGTGTAATAATTCACTAGAACAACTCATAGAACTCAGGATAGCATTGTACTTATAATTATGGTTTTATTATGAAGGATACACACAAGGCCAGGTCTAGAAGGCTCCTGGACAAAGAGCTTCCATGTGGAATCAGGACAGATCACTCTCCCAGCAGATTGATGTGTTTACCAACCAGGAAGCTCACCCATGCTTCAGTTTCCAGAGTTTTTAATTGGAGTTTCATTGATTTAATTATTGGTCCTGTGGTTGGACTCAGTCTCTAATTCCCAGAGATTGGGCTGATAGGACCCGGCTCAAAGCCCCAACTTCTAGTCACATGGTTAGTCTTTCTGGCATGATCAGTACCTATCTTGAGTCATCTCCTTAGCATAAACTCAGGGGTGGTCCAAGGACACAGACTCTTCTACCACTTAGGAAACCCTAAGCTCTCTTCCAGGAATCTGGGACAAATTCTTTATTATATAGCAATACTTTAAATAGGACAAGAATCAGCAAATGTTTGTCAAATGAAGTCTGGAGGAATGAATGAGGAAATGAAATGTATTTGATGGGTTTTCTGAGGGATTTGAACCAGACCTTGTACCATCTTTTCTAGGGTAATGATCTTTGGAGCTTCTGAAAGTTTCATCCTATGAAGTGCCCTGAATCTGCCAGCATGACAGGGGGCATGCATCTTGGATTCAGGGGCTTGGCCCTTTAGCCGGGTCTGGTAGAGACGGTGGTGATGATGTTTCTCCAGAGTGCATTATACCTTTCATGTGCCACCCTATTACCACAAGGTATTCATTTATTTAACAAATATTTAATGAATGCCTGCAATACTCTAGGCACTGCTCCAGGTGCTGGGGATAGAGTGGTGAACAAAACAGACAAAAACCCCTGCCTTTTTGAAGCTTTCATTCTAGTGAGGAGAGATGGACAATAAACAAACACCTAATGATATGCTAGTCAGGTGGTGATGAATGCTTTGGAGAAAAATAAATTGAATGCCCAGAAACTGTCACTGCTCCTCTGCAGGCTGGGCAGGTGAGCCCTGGACAAGCATCCAACTCCAGGGCAAAGTTTGTAATTTGTTGTTGCTGCTGCATGCCCTCTAGGTTAGAAAAAAGTCTGTCCCTGAATGTTTTAGTGAGTCTGCCTGGCCTTTTGATTCTGCAGTGATTAAATGCCAGGCTATTGGGAATTAGTTTTATTCTAATTCAAGGTTAAATGTAGAAAAGACCTCCCGCTTCTCCATCTATCAAAATTCAACTATGGATCTTTTAAGGGTATCAGCCCCTCTTTGAAGCCTCCTCTGACCTGCCCCCACCCCAGTTGCATTTAATCCCTCCTCTCCCTGCTTTCACAGCATTTAACTTATAGCTCTGTTGTATCGCATTTCATTCTGTTTTATACGAAATTACATGCTTATGTGATCTGTTTTTCCAGTAAAATTTGTAATTTTCTTGGAGGCAAGGAGGTTCCTTTTCACTCTATGCTCACTGTATTCATATCCTCCCCCCATCCCAAGGAACTTTAAAATGCCTGGTACACAGTAGCTGTTCAATTAACTATTGACTGAAAGAAAGACACCTTAAAGCATTCTTACCAGTGCAGATATCTGACTTGCAATGTGTAAGTTTCTTATCTATTTCCACTGCTTTCTTAGATGAATGGAGTTTTCGCTAGTTTCCGTAGGACATTAGTTGGGACTATTTCTTAGGAAAGCATATCAAATTTCAGACTTCTGAATGAAGTAACAACAGGCACTGGGAACAACAACAATACAGATCTCCTTATTGTTTCTTTTCTGATTGCAAAGAAGTACATAATCACTGTAGAAAGTTTAGAAAGTATAAATGAGCATAAAGCAAATAAAAATCACTTTCATTCAACTATTCATTTAAAAGATATCTACTGAGCTGTTACTATTTACTCTCTAGGTACATACAACACATTGGAAATATAACAGTAAATAAAATAGGCCAAGCCTTGCTTTCAGAAGTAGTGATAAATTAACTTACACAGTTAATGAATTAAAATGTTCATAATTCTTCCACATGAAGATAGTTAATGCTAAGATTTTAGTGTATATTTATCCAATCTATTCATTAAAGCAGTATATTCATAAAAAATATACTCATTATATTCTCATTAATGAGAATATAATTTTAATGAGCAGTATATTCTCATTAAAAAAAATGAGATAAAGTGGCACACACCTGTAATCCCACTTACTCAGGAAGCTGAGGCAGGAGAATCACTTGAGCCTGGGATGTGGAGGTTGTAGTGAGCCGAGATCGCGCCACTGTTGTAGGCTGGGCGAGAGAGTGAGACCCTGTCTCAAAAAAAAAAAAGCGATGATATTTCAAGACTGTTTTCTAACCTGCCTCTTTAACCTAATGTATTATGAATATCTTGCTTTGTCATCCAGGCTGGATTGCAGTGGCGTGATCTTAGCTCACTGAAACCTCTGCCTCCTGGGTTCAAGCGCTTCTCCTGCCTCAGCCTCCCGAGTAGTTGGGATTACAGCTGCCTACCACCACGCCCGGTTAATTTTTGTGTTTTTAGTAGAGACAGGGTTTCGCCGTGTTGGCCAGGCTGGTCTCAAACTCCTGACATCAGGTGATCCGCCAGCCTTGCCTCCCAAAGTGCTGGGATTACAGGTGTGAGCCACCACGCCCAGCCTACAATATTGTTTAAAATAGCCAATAACATTTTGTTTAGTGATGTTCCAAACTTTCTAACTGTGATACATTGATCATTTACTTAGAACAAATGACTGGAATTGGAATTTTTCTATCAAAGGGTCTGCAAAAATGTAAAGATTTTGATGGATACGGCTAAATTGCCCCTCTGCTCTGCCTGATTGCTGCCAGTTTACATTTCTGCCAGCAGTGTATGAGAGGACTGGTATCAGCAATTTTTTTTCATTTAAAAATGAATCAACTTGGTTGTGCGTTTTTGTTTGTGAGTGTGTGATCATTTGTTACGCATTGATCTCTAATGAGATCTGCTCCAAAGTAGACAATGAATAAAATTGTAATCAGTGTTAGGCCAGAGAAGCATTTTGCCAAGGTGGATGTCAGGACTCTCGGATGGTTTCAGCCCTTACACCATAAAGCAAGGGAATGACGAATCCAGGCCCTGTTCTTTATGTCTATGTTAATTGATTCTTCAGTTTGGCCATCGTCTTGCCGCCACATGAAGAAAGGGCATTTAAGAAAAATCTCGGGCTGAGAACACAGAAACAAAGAAAGAGCTAGGGCAAATGGTACCAGTGTCACTAATGAGATTGCAAAGGAGAAGCACACCAGGTACCCATGAGAAAGACTGTAAGGAGCAGTGTCAGTGTAAGGATAGTGTCAGTGTGACACTTGACTTATAAAATGCTAGAAGATTGCTACTTTATATTAATATTATGGTCTAGGCACTAAAGAGATCCTATTTTTCTTTCTAAAACATGCCAATTTTTTTTTTTCATACAAAATGAAAGTGGTATCAAACAGGGCACAGGCTTGTGAGGGTTCTGTGCTGTGGAGGGGAAGGCAAGATCAGCTGGGAAACAGTGCTAGAATGCCAGTCGGTAGCCTTGCGTTCTTTCTTTGATTTTACTACTGCCTACCTCTGTGACCTTGGGCAAGTTCCTCAGCCTCTGAGGACTTCAGTCTTCTTGTTGTTAAAGTGAGGGGTTTTAACAAAAGGGGTCTCATGTTTCTTCCGTTTTTAAGTATTCTCTGATCCTCTGTCCCCTAAACCAAAGCTCACACTGGTTCAGATTAAGGAACCTCTAATTCCCTCTCCTCCAATATAGGGAATGACATGTGATGGCAGCAGTTTTTAGGCTGTCATCTCTCCTATGAGCTTCTCTTTTGAATTTTATTAGAAAGAGAAGATTTTGGGATTTGTAGCATAATTTACTACTCACAAATGACAATTTCTTCTTTATATTTCTGTCCTAAACTTTGTAGTTACCATCTACGTCTGACTTCACATTCATAATAATAATGCAAGACCAATCCTTTCCATCCTTCATTACTCTTTTCTCCATTCTTCTACTTTCTTAACTTCCTATCTTACCTCATAAAATGCTGAACACTCTGCAATGTACTGAAACAGTTGTTCTATAGAAGACCAGTATGCTCCAATGACTCTCAGTATTGTATATCTTCATCAACCCTAAAAGAAGGCTGTGTTTGTGTTTGTGTGTGTGTGCACGTACCTCCACGCCGAGTTGAGAAACATGAATTAGGAGGAGGAATGATTAGGTGGTTGGGCTTCAAAGAGAACATTTGTAGATTCTATCTGGAACACATTTTATTAAAATTGCAACAAACTTTATAAAATCAGATGTATGGTTCATTAAGAGAACATTACCTTACAATCATGATTAATTAGATTAAACTTATGAAAGTGTGTTATTTGTTCAAATCAAAAGGGTGGGGGAAGATGATGGATGATGAAAGAGTGTGATAAATGAAGAAAGCAGCTGAACTAAATTGAATGTGTATTCATCCGTTTTCACTTCATAACTAATGATAAATTGAGCATGTCACACTTAACAATACATATCTGGGCTTAAGCACACAGTTTCAGCTCCTGTTCACTAATGCCTTTTGATAGGTAGTTGAGACCAAAGAATTGAAATTTTAGTTCCTGGACTTTTGTCTGCCTGGCTCTTACCTTGGAAAACACAAAGGATACTTATTGACTGAATAAAGGAATTTATGAAATTGTTAATACTTAAAAGTTGTACTTCCTCAGGTCATGCTTATGGTATTTAAAAGTAGGAGATTTATCTTACTATCCAAGAAAAAGGATTTTTTCCTCCTTTGCAGGACCAATCCAGTTGTAGAGGTAGAAAGTACTCAGAATTGTGGAAATATTTTTCCTCCTTTTCTTTCTCAAATGTACCCATGTTTACCTTGGCAATCGATTGGAAGAAACACCCCAAAAGGCTCATTAGAGAGTCTGGGAAATTTGAAAGTGAGGGGTAAACATCAAACAGTTTACATCAGTTTCCTGAAATCTCAAGTTTTCCAATATTTCAAATCACATTGTAGTCTCTCAAGGACCATCTGAGATTTATGAAGCTGATCTTAGGGTCAGGGAGAAAGTTTGTGGAAAATGTTTCCAATCACACTGAATTAGACACATTTGCCACATAGAGTCTGGAACGGTTTATGAAAAGAATCCATTTTTTTTGCTAGAAAAGTTCAAGAGAGTTACAATATAGGATCTGACACACAGGGAATATTTCTCTGCTCTTTAGTTCTCACTGAGTTTGAATTAAAACAATGTGAAGTGAGTGGGTGTTTCTGAAAAGATTACACAACTTTTTGTTTTTCTGTTTCTGAGTTTTCTAAAAGGATTTTAGTAAGATTCCTTTTGAGTTGTGGTGACTGTTTCTAATCAGTTTTGATTTTTATCTGAATCTCATCTACAAGCCCTACCTCAAAACTTATTTAAGCATTTCCAGCTTGCGATTTTCAGTAATGATGAAGCTTTTAAGAGACCGACTATCTTTCAGATACTTTTCAGACTCTCACACTAGGGCTATGCAGTAGAAGATATTTTTGGACAAGAATTACCCTACTCCTCAGAGCAAAGGAGGCATTCTGAAAGACGGAGGTGAGACAAACTGTGGCCATGTAGGAGTTCTGAAGGGATGGATGATGCTGTTGACAGGAGTAGTTATTCAATGTTAGTTATAATACACCACTAGAAACAAAGTCTGTGGAGGTGGTTCTTAACCGTACTGGGTGGGAGAGGGAGTGGAATTTTCTTCCCTGGGGACATTTGGCAATGTCTAAAGACATTTTTGGCTGGGTGCGGTGGCTCGTGCCTGTAATCCCAGCAGTTTGGGAGGCTGAGGCAGGTGGATCACTTGAGGTCAGGAGTTCGAGACCAGCCTGGTTAACGTGGGGAAACACGGTCTGTACTAAAAATACAAAAATTAGCCAGGCATGGTGGCACGCACCTATGATCCCAGCTACTCCAGGGGCTTAGGCAAGAGAATCACTTGAACCTGGGAGGCGAAGGTTGCAGTGAACCGAGATCATGCCACTGCACTCCAGCCTGGGTGACAAAGCAAGACTCTTTCTCAAAAAAAAAAAAAAAAAGACATTTTTGTTTATTATAACATTTGGAGAGGGGTGTAGTGAGCAGAGATGCTGCTAAACGTCCTGCAATGCACAAGACGGGCTCTCATAACAATAAATTACCTGAATCATCTAGTTCAAGATGTCACTAGAGATGAGGTTGGAAAACCTCATTTAGAATGAGGCATGAATTTAAAGAATGGCAAATTAGTCAACTTGGTGAGCAACTGAAGATGAAATTTAAGGTGAGTGACAAGGCTGACATATATAAATAAGCCTAATTACATTCTTATAGTAGTACAACAAACACATCAGTGAATACTATGCCAAATGAATCCTACACTCAACAACTTGACTATAACAGTAATAACTTTAATTTAATATAAATTGGGTTGGTCTTGGATCCCAACCAAAATGATTTAATTCCTTAAAGACCCAAATAATTTTGCTCTGCTTAAGTCTTTTTCATAATGTGTTTTCTTAGAAATTGGGTTATTAAATTATAGTGAGTTTTTTTTAGGAGGTGTTATAATCTCTCCTTTTACCTAGAGAAGAATTGGAAGGGTATGCTTTGATCTTATGATTAAACTGGGAACAGAACTGAAAGCAGAATTCAGCTTTCTTGAGTGTATTGCTTGATTCTCCAACTGAAACTGCCTCCCCTTTCTAGGCCAGGGCATTGCTCTCTCTCCTGGGAGGAGATGGTCTTTAGTAATGGCAAGTTGTGTTTGGAAAAGAATATCCTGAAGGTGAGGGAAGGTGGTAAAGCCTTCAGCCATGCTAAACTATTCAAAAGAGGAGCTTAGAGGAAGAAATTGTCACACTTGTCTGAGTTCTGACGTGAAAATACATTTCAGAGCCAAGACAATTCATCTGTTAGGCTTCCTGTTGGAAGAATATTTACTCAGCTGTGGGAAGAGAGTTTCAGTGAACATCCAAGATAATGAAAGTTTGATAATACTCAATATTGTGGAAATAACCATGAATCGAATACATTCTTAGTGTCAGAATGCGAGATGATAAAGAACCTTGAAGAAGCTTCCTGGGGAGCAGAAAGCAACAGGATCCATATCAGCAGAGTTTTTGTTTTTTGTTTTTTTTTTTTTTAAATTTTTATTTCACTGGGAGACAGGGTCCTGTTTGGCAGGAGGAAGAAAAAACATGCTCATTTCACTTATTTTTGTTTCAACTCATTTTTGAAAACATTGTGATAAAATATACATGACATAAAATTTATCATTTTAACCATTTTAAGTGTACAATTTAGTGGCCTTAAGTACGTATACAATGTTGTGTAACCATCACCACTATCTAGTTCCACAATTCTTTATCACCTGAAACAGAGCTTTGTAACCATTAAAGAACAACTCCCCATTTTCCCTCCCCTCAGTCCCTAGTAGCCTCTGTTCTACTTTGTCACTATGAATTTGCCTATTCTAGATACTTACTGTAAGTGGAATCATACATTATTTGCCATTTTATGTCTGGCTACAGCTCACTTTTGTATTCCTAGTGTCTGGTTAATGCCAGGCACAAGAAAGGTACTTGAAAAATACAGATGGAATAAATGAAAGTCACAGTGGGAGGACGGGAGTAGCATGCACCTTCAGGATTTAACACATCACATTTTTAAAATTTATTAATATCAGTGATAAAGCCCTGCATTTGAACAACACTTGATGGTTTTTCAAAAAGCTTTGACATTTCATTTCCCTTGCTACTTTATTATTTTGGAAAAAAAAGTCACTCTTTTAAGGATAGATTTAAGTAAAACATGTATCTACCCCCTGTTAATACTTTAGATTTTTCTGGTTTATTAATAATTGTACTTACAAACATTTTAATTTACTACCATTGGGAACAACTGCATGTGATAATGCTGGTCTAGGGAGTGAATGAAATCGATGCTTCATAATCAATTATTGATAAGATTAAGGCCCACCTCTCCTGAGAAGGAAATTGTAGCTCTAAGATATTAAGTGGATTCTTTCAAGATCCCACAGGAAATCAGGAGCAGAGCCAGAATTAGAATTCGCAGCCTCCAAGTCCCCAAGGCTCCATTGGACTGAGCTGCCCACTAAACACAAACTTTCTTTTCCCCTGTGTCTATTCCCAGTGACCTCTACTGGTGCTTACAAAGCATGAAGAAAAAGGAACCATTCTTCCATGAATTCTCCTACCAGCGCAAACATTGCAAATTGTTTTCTTTTGGGGTCAAAGCTTTGCCACCTGCCATTTTGGGCTCAGAGGAAGGCTGAAATACATCATTTGAGGGGTTATACACTCGAGGTGACCCGTTGCTGTCTAGTCCTGACTTCCCTTGGGGTTCGCCTCTCTCTCCTGCCTGCCGTCATCTCCAGCATCCCTGTCCTCTTGGTGAGCTCCAGGTGCCTTGAGGAGAACAGAGGGGACATTTTGCTCCAATTACAAATGCTGTAGCAAGGAAAGGTGAAGCAATTAAACTAATGCCCTCTCCATTGCCAACTTTATTTGTTCCTGTTTCTACGATCCCATTTTCCCCCCTTTTCTGTGCAGTCTGTGGTTTGACACTCATTGTACTTCCCCTCTGATATTGTCTCATAAAACTCTCTGTCAGTAATATAATTGCCTGTCCAGCTTTCCAGGTTATGTGTTTTTTTTCCCCTAAAGCACATCGGTAGAGAAAGCATTTAAGCTTGACACGGTGACTTTCCTGGGCTAAGTTCCGTCCTTTTATCGCAGAAAGGCTTTCAAGTATGCACTATAGTGCACTTACTTTTTTCTTAATATAACTTCCATCCCACCTTCCTCGTCTGCTTGCCAAAGAAGGAAAATAGACTTGTTCTCTCGAATAATCAAATGAGACTGTGATAGGAAAAATAGGTCAGGGAATAGTAAGTAGCTAATTTACTGGGGACAATACATTTCTTACAATCCAAAGTTTTTAAATTGACGGACTTGAAAAAAAAGTTCTAACAGTGGTAGTGATATTTCAGTGACAAGATTTAGGTTTTATTAGGGATGTTCATTTGGAATTTCAGTGGAGAAGGGAGAGGAAGGACAGAGAAGTGAGTGAGGTAGTGTTAGCTAGGGCAGAGCAATATTTTTTCTGATATATAAATGTAAATCTTTATTATGTGCCATTAGAGTTTAATATATGCCACTAGAATTTAGGGATAACATGTTGATTGTCTGCTCCTTCTTGTCTTACTTTGGGTCCCAATGGCAACCCCTTTTTATTTCTTGGGACTCACATGAGAGGATACTGCATCAAGTATACTCTGCCAAATCCTAATGATTTTAATTCAGAATTGTGTCTTTTCCAGTCTTTATTCTCCCTGCTACTATCTGGGTTCTGACACCCACTGGATCTCTTTTTTTTTTTTTTTTTTTTTTGAGACAGAGTCTCGCTCTGTTGCCCAGGCTGGCGTGCAGTGGAGCGATCTCCGTTCACTGCAAGCTCCGCCTCCCGGGTTCACGCCATTCTCCTGCCTCACCCTCCCGAGTAGCTGGGACTACAGGCGCCTGCCACCACGCCCGGCTAATTTTTTGTATTTTTAGTAGAGACAGGGTTGGATCTCTTTTAAGAACATTGGTTCCCAAACTAGGCGCTCGTCTTCAGAATCAGCTTGAGAGTAACATAAACACACACACACACACACACACACACACACACACACACACACTGCTAGCATTCTGCCTACACACTTACAAACACATACACAGATTCCTCAAGTCTACGTTGTTGATTTTGACTCACTTGGTCTTGGGTGGGGCCTAAGAAACCAGATATACAAACCACTTTTCCTGGTTATTCTAATGATTTAGAAATGTCTTTCTTATAACAATTTTTTAAATTGTCTTTCCTGACAACAATGTGTCCCTATCCCAGTCTATCATCTTCCAGGGTTATTGTCCTTAAAATGATCAAATCATAGTACCTGAACTTGGTGGAAGGCTAAAACAGGCTCTAAAACTTGTTTTTCCTCTCCCTCACCTGTAGGATAAAATTTGTACTTCTTGGTTTGGCGTAGAAGGTCCTCTTCATTGTAATTTCTGCCCATTTCTCCAGCTTTTTCTCCTATTGTCCTTTATGTACCTTATATAATCTATCCACACTGAACTTCTCATTGGCCCCAATACATCTGCACATATTTGAATTCCAAAGTTTTACACATGATGTTCTTTTTGCCTGGAGTATCCCTCTCTCTCCTTGACCTTGAGACAAGGCTTTCTTCAGAGGGTACCTCCTGCATGAAGCTTTCGTTGATTGGGCCAGGCACTGTTAGTTGCTCGTGGTTTGCAGGCACCTTCTTCTTGCCACTAAAACAGCATTTGTCAGATAGTACAGTGATTTGTCTTCACTAGATTGTGTACTACTGGATGCCAAAGACTATTTTCTACATCCTATTGTTTCCAAACCTACAACAATGTCTGGAAAATAATAGGTCTAAGGATTGTGTATAGCAATGAGTGGATGAAAGAGTATTGCTTTTACAGAGTGATAATTAAGAGCCTGGACTGTGGTCCCAGATTAATCAGGTTTTTTTTTTCTTTTTTAGAGTGGAGTTATCACTCTGTTTCCCAGGCTGGAGTGCAGTGGAATTATCATAGCTCACTGCAGCCTCCTGGGCTCAAGCGATCCTCCCTGTTCAGCTTCCTGAGTAGCTGGGACTACAGGCACACTCCATCATTTCTGGGTATAGGTTTAGTTTTTGACTATGCCACTTATTAGCTGGGTGATTTGGCTAAATACTTACCCCTCTGTGCCTCAATTTTCTCATTTAGCATAGTGTTAGCTATTATCATCACTGTTACTGTCATTTTGCTATTTTTAAATGCTGGAGGAGGATTAAAGGGGTATCAATAGAGGGTTTGGATAGAAATAATAGGATACAAGGTCTCCTTTTGTGACCTTGGGCAAATTACACCACTGCTATATAAAACAGTGGTTTAAAATACTGCATATTCTCACTTCTAAGAGGGAGCTAAACTGATAATAACTTACAAACATAAAGAAGGAAACAGCAGTCCCTGGGGTCTACTTGAGGGTGGAGGATGGGAGGAGGGAGAGGAGCAGAAAGGATAACTATTTGGTACTGGGCTTAATAACTGGGCGATGAAATAATTTGTACAACAAAGCCCCATGACATGAGTTTACCTGTGTAACAAACCTTCACATGTACCCCTGAAGCTAAAGTAAAAGTTAAAAAAATGGTGCTTTAAAACCCTGTCTGTGGTACAGGCATATGGTAAGAATCAGAAATAATACTAGTACCATTTACTGGGCATTTCTCATGAGCCAGACACTCTTTCAAGCACTTACACAAATTATCTCCTTTAGTTCTCATAACACTCATATGAGGCAGATATCCTTATATCTCCCATTTACTAGTGAGGAAATTGAGTCACTTGCCTGTGGTCACAAAGGTAGCAAGTATACAGCCAGGACTTGGACCAGGCCTAACTCTGAAAGTGTAAGCACAACCAGTGTGCAAAACTGCATCCCAAATAAGGTAACAACACATGTAAAAGAGTGTGATCATACTGCTTTCACTTACTGCTTGGCTTGGATGTAATACATGGAGAGGCAGAGCTTTTTTTTTTTTTTTGATTGGTATGATGTTGCTCATATACACTTTTAAATATTTATTTTTTGTTTCAATAGTTTTGGGGGAACAGGTGATGTTTGGTTGCATGGAAAAATTCTTCAGTGGTGATTTCTGAGATTTTGGTGCACCCATCACCTGAGCAGTGTACAGTGTACTCCATGTGCAGTCTTTTATCCCTCAGCCCCTCCCACCCTTCCCCCTGAGTACTCAGTCTATTGTATCATTCTTATGCCTTTGCGTCCTCATAGCTTAGCTCCTGCTTATACGTGAGAACATACAATGTTTGGTTTTCCATTCCTGAGTTGCTTCACTTAGAATAATGGTCTCCAACTCCATCCAGGTTCCTGCAAATGCCATTCTTTTGTTCCTTTTTATAGCTTAGTAGTTTTCCATTAAACACACACACACACACACACACACACACACACACACCACATTTCCTTTATACACTTGTTGATTGACGGCATTTAGGCTGGTTCCATAATTTTGTATTTACATATTGTGCTTCTGTGAACATGTGTGTGTAAGTGTCTTTTTCATATAATGACTTCCTTTGGGTAGATACCCAGGAGTGGGGTGCTGGATCAAGCAGTAGTTCTACTTTTAGTTCTTTAAGGAATCTCCATACTGTTCTCCATAGTGGAGAACCACCAGCCGTGTAAAAGTGTTCCATTTTCACCACATCCACGCCAACATCTGTTATTTTTTTATTTTTAAATTACGGCTATTCTTGCAGGAGTAAGGTG
The DNA here is from genome assembly GCF_000001405.40 of Homo sapiens. NCBI lineage: Eukaryota > Metazoa > Chordata > Mammalia > Primates > Hominidae > Homo > Homo sapiens. Next base: position 83,684,918 of record NC_000004.12, read on the forward strand.
GTATCGCATTGTGGTTTTGATTTGCATTTCCCTGATAATTAGTGTTGTTGAGCATTTTTTCTTGTGTTTGTTGGTCATTTGTATATCTTCTTTTGAGAATTGTCTATTCATGTCCATTGAGAGGCAGGGCTTTGATTTGGATATTGTTAATCAGTTCAGACTGCAAGAACAGAATGCCATAGACTGGGTGGCTTAAACAACAAACATTTATTTCTCATGGTTCTGGAGGCTGGGAAGTCTTAAGATCAAGGTGCAGGCAGATCCAGTGTCTGGTGAGGGCCCTCCTCCTGGCTTGCAGATGGCCATCTTCTCATATCTTCACATGGCAGAGAACACAGAGAAGATGTAAACTCTCTTGTGTCTCTTCTTTTTTTTATGTTTCAAATTTCACACTACACACCATGATTCTTCATTGTGTCTCTTCTTACAGGGCACTAATTCCATTCACAAAGTCTCCACCCTTATGACCTATGCACCTTTCAAAGGCCCCACCTCATAATGCCATCCCTTGGAAATCAGGATTTCAACATAGAATTTTGGAGGGACACAAACATTCAGTCCATAACATATGTGAGAAACAGGAGAGGAAAAAATAAGATGAGAATGTTACAGGAAAGTGCTTGGAGGGTGCCCAAAGTGGGGTGCTGACACAGTGAGGAAATGGAAACATATGTGAAGAGCAAGGGCAAAATCTTATTTTCCACTTATTTATTTATTTATTGCTAGTGCTAGCCCTGTCCTATTCCCTTTGCCCAGAAACTAGGCAGGAAGTTGATGATTTTATTCATGAAGCCTTGTCTTCAGGGTGTAAGACGGAGGAGCACCTCTTGGCCCTGTCCTCTCCCTGTTGATCTGTCCTGGAAAGACTGAAATAAACAGGAAGAGGAAGAGGATGAGCTGGAATCGTTGCCTGAGAACTTGGACATTTCAGTAACGAGATGTTTCCTCTCCAGGTTTGGGAAGAAAGCCCCTCGGTGGAGCTGGAGTGTCTATCCTTTCCAGACTTCTTTCTTGATCTAGTTTGAGAACTTTTCCTTTCCTCCTTCTCACACCTTCTTCATCCAGTGATACTGACACTCAGGAGTTTGAGGAGACAAATGACATATGTGCTTTAATTTATAGGGACTGTGTCTGAGCCACTGATGGCTTGCACTTAGGCTGGGTCTGCATGACACCAAAATCCACAGTCAGGTCGGCACCTTGCTTAGGCTGGGTGAGGCAACTGGCTGATTGACTAGATTTGCACTTCTCATAATGTTGCTTTGACGTTGTGTAGTAGAACAGTGATTCAAGTTTGAAAAAAAAATGGAAGTGAGATGATCTCTTGAAGTATCTAATGGAAGAAAATTAAACGTATGGTGAAATAGAGAGCATCCCAGGCTGGAAGTGAGCAGCCAGGGTTTGTATTCAGCCACTGCCCTGATGAGTTGTGTGGCCCAGGGCAAGGGGAGCCTCTCTCTGGTTCTCAACCAGGAAATGAGCTGCCTTGTAGTCATCACATTTTATAGTTCCCTTTAAAATATTTAGGTCAGATGATATATTAGTGGCTTTTTCTTTAAAACAAAATTTCTCAGAAGTGTCAGGTTTTTTTTTTTTTTCTGAATTCCTCATTATTTATGCATTGGTACAGAAGCCCTGGAAGGTGTTTTTTTTTTTTTTTTTTTTTTTTGAGACAGAGTTTCACTCTTGTCACCGAGCCTGGAGTGCAATGGCACAATCTTGGCTCACTGCAACCTCCGCCTCCTGGATTCAAGTGATTCTCCCGCCTCAACCTCCTGAGTAGCTGGGATTACAGACGCCTGCCACCATGTCCAGCTAATTTTTGTGTTTTTAGTAGAGACGGGGTTTCACCATGTTAGCCAGGCTGGTCTCGAACTCCTGACCTCAGACGATCTGCTGGCCTCAGCCTCCCAAAGTGTTGGGATTACAGGTGTGAGCCACTGCGCCTAGCCTGGAAGGTGTTTTTAAAGAATACCTTATTACAGAGGCAAACAGTGTCCAAGCTCCCCTTGCTTTTCAGGGGAGTGCGGAAAAGGAAAGCTTTTTTTTCAGTTATTCGTGGTCTACAGCCCCAAACTGTGTCTCTGGTGCTGCTGGGAAATCCTTGATACTCCTGCAGGCTGCCGTCTTTCACCCCTCACCCAGACCCTTTAAAACCTCCCTCCTCTCTCTTCTGAGGCTAATCTCTACTTTTTCTCTGACCCCTCCCTCTCTTTTGGGAAACTTAGTCTGTTGGTTTTCCCCGATTCTCTTCTGAGATTTTTTTTTTTTGGAGACAGACTCTTGCTCTGTTGCCTAAGCTGGAGTGCACTGGCGGGATCTTGGCTTACTGCAACCTCTGCCTCCTGGGCTCAAGTGATCCTCCTGCCTCAGCCTCCTGAGTAACTGGGACTACAGGTGTGCACCACCATACATGGCTAATTTTTTGTATTTTTCATAGAGATGAGGTTTCACCATGTTGCTCAGGCTGGTCTCAAACTCCTGGGCTCAAGCAATCCTTCCCCCTTGGCCTCCCAAAGTGCTGGGATTACAGGCATGAGCCACCTCATCTGGCTTCTTCTGAGTTTTTAACCTGACTCTCTCTATTGGTTCCTTCCTATTCGTGTTTCAGCATGTTTTTATTTTTATTATGTTTTTTAAAGCAGGAGCCTCTCTAATTAAAAAAAAAAAATTCACCTTGTAGCGAACACCCTAACTTCTACCCTCAGGTGTGAGCATAGATCTCACTGCTTTTGGAAGCACGCTCTTGTGCCGCTGACCTAGGTAAGGTGCCGCTCCTACATGCCTACTTAGCAGCCTGTATTTCCCCTCTCCTGGAAGGCACCACATAGCAGTGTAATTCTGTGTTATCTGCCTTCCCCACTAGGCTGTGAGCTCCATGAGCATGGGGATCTTGTCTCATTACTTATTCTTTGCTGTGTTCCCAGCTCCCAGAAGAGTGCCTGACACATAGAGGAACTTTTAAAAGACTTGTGAATGAATTAATACATGGATTAATTAAAGAGGAAGAGATGCAGACTTTTTCTCTAATAATACTCCAATGTTTTACCCTATGGTACTCTCTTGTCCTATCCCAGCTGCTGCAGGAATTATACTAGCTATGTTCACCTGATTGCTTTGACTGGGAACATATAATGGTGACTAATCAAGTGACAAGGTGGGAGAAGAAGGTACTGTTAACTTTTTTCAGAAGGGAAATATCCATTCCAGGTTGCAACCATCCTTTCATAAAAATAGGTCATGGCAAACACCCATAAATCAAGAGATTTAGATTCAATCAGTGTCCAGAAGTTGAGTGCCCTATTCTTTGCTAGGATTTTTCTGGTGTTTCCCACTTCTGATTCGGTAGGGAATCTTGACAGTGATTGCTTACCTGAGACACTGTATGTTTCTCAGTAGACTCATACAGAGAAATACCATATGAAGGTGAGGGATTTTCAGTGTGAGAATCATGTGTGGTTTTATTTATGGCTTTGATTCCTGGTGACCCATTATTTTGCACTTGTCATCCAATAAGGACTATTGAGAGAAAGTAAATTCCCATTATAGTAATGTTAACAAAAATGTAAGTAACAGTACCAACTTTTGTTGAATACTTGCAGTGTACCAGGCACTCTTCAATGCTCTGTATTTGCATTAACTCATTTGATCATTAAATCATTGGTATAATAGTAGTTTGAGATAGACACTATTATTATACCAATTTTACAGTTGAGGAGTTGAAGCAGAAGTGAAGTGGCTTTCTCCATGTCACACAGGTAGTAAGTGGCATAGCCCAGATTTGCACCCTGGGTGGCAGGGCCACAGTCCCACTTGTAATCACTGCATTCTCCTGACTTTCAGTGCAGGCAGTGGCTGAAGGCAGAGATTACAAACTTATTATGTAAAATGCCTCAATCCTATATAAAATAATACTTTGAGACGCACATGTAGATTTGATCCTGGAGTTAAAAAAACTATAAGGAAAATGGTAGATGTAAGTGATAAATAGTAAGTAGAGCTGTCTCATAAGTTGTATGACATTAAATCTCTATCTTTCCAGAAGAGGTACATTTTGAGTATTTGCTAAATTACTATATTCTAGAAAACTGAGCCTCATCTTTGGGCAGTTTGTTTTTTTTAAACTTTTTATTGTGAAATAACTTTAGATCCATAGTAAGTTGCAAAGAAATGTACAAGAAGGCCATGTGCACTTTTTACTCAGCAACTCCCAATGTGAATGTCTTACATAACTGTAGTACAATATCAGAACAAGTAAAGTGACATTGGAAAAATCTGCAGAGATTATTCTGATTTCTCCAGTTCTACATGCACTCATTTGTGTGTGTGTGTGTGTGTGTGTGTGTGTGTGTGTGTGTGTGTGTAATGTGTTCAATGTTATCACAGCTATAGCTTCATGTAGCCACCATCATTATCAAGATACTTAGTTGTACCATTACCGTAAAGGGCCTTTCTGCTACTCCTTTATGGTCAAACTCTAATCCCTAATCTCTGGCAGCCGCTAATCTGTTCTATGTCTTGTAATTATGTTATTTCACAGGTATTATGAGAATGAAATCATACAGTATGTCACATTTTAGGAATCTTTTTTTTTTCCTTCAGTGTAATTCCCTGGAGATTCATTCAAGTTGCTGCCTATATAAATTGCCTGTTCCTTTTTATTGCTGAGTACTATATTCCATGGTACATATGTAGAATACCTCGGTTTGTTTAACCATTCGCCTGTTGAAGGACATATGGGTGGTTTCCAGTTTTTGGCTATAATAAATAAAGCTTCTATGAACATTTGTGTACAGGGTTTTGCGTGAACGTTTTCTTTTCTATGGGATAAATGCTAAAGACTGAAATTGTTGGGTCATATAGTAATTACATGCTTGGCTTTGTCTTTTTTTTTTTCTTTTAAAGAAACTGTGAAACTGTGACTGTGTCATTTTATATTCCCTTCATTAATGTGTGAGTGATCCAGTTTCTCTGCAACCTTGTCAGCATTTGGTGTTTTCAGTGTTTTTAATTTTAGCCATTCTGAGAAATACTTAGTGATATGTCATCGTGGTTTTAATTTGCATCTTCCTGATTGCTAAACATCTTTTTATGTGTTTATTTGTCTCTGTATATCCTCTTCTCTGGAATGTACCTTCCTGTCTTTTGCCACTTTCTTTTTCTTTTCTTTCTTTTTGTTTTTTCTGAGATGGAGTCTCACTCTGTCACCCAGGCTGGAGTGCAGTGGCGTGATCTCAGCTCACTGCAACCTCCGCCTCCCGGGTTAAAGTGATTCTCCTGCCTCAGCCTCCAGAGCAGCTGGGATCACAGGCACGCCACCATGCCTGTTGATTTTTTTTGTATTTTTAATGGAGATAGGATTTCACCATGTTGGCCAGGCTGGTCTCAAACTCCTGACCTCAAGTGATCCACCCACCTCAGCCTCCCAAAGTGCTGGGATTACAGGCGTGAGCCACCACACCTGGCTTCTTTGCTCATTTTCTAATTGGATTGTTTGAATTTTTTACCATTTATTTTTAACTGTTTATTCTTGTAAATTCTTTCATATATTTTAAAATATATAATACACGTGGCTACATGGCTTGCAAATATTTTTTTCCACTCTGTAACTTATCTTTTCATCCTCTTCACATGGACTTTAAGAAAGCAAATGTTTTAAATTCTGATAATGTCAAATTCATCAGTTTTTCAACAGAAATTTATTTCTTGCAGTTCTGGGGGCTGGAAAATTTAAGATTAAGATGCCACCGGATTTGGTGTCTGGTGAGGGCTTGTTCTCTGACTCAGAGATGGTGCCTTCTTGCTGCATCTTCACATGATGGAAGGGGCAAATAGGGTCCCTCAAACTTCTTATAGGGTACCAATTCCATTCACAAGGGCACCACCCTCCTGACCTAAATACTTCCTAAAGGTCTCACCTCTTAGCATATCACATTGGGGATTAAGTTCCAACGTATAAATTATGGGGGCGCATACACATTTAGACCACAGCAGTGGCTTTTGAAGCATTGGTCTATTGCTTCCAATTAGTTCAATTTATGAGAATAAAATTCATAGTACTTTTAATGGCTTTTTAAAGTACTTTTAATGGCATCCTTTCAGTGGTTATAGGGTTTCCATATTTTCTCTCTTCTCATTGAATATTCTTGACAACTGAGCAGCATTTTTAGGCAGCTTTTTTTAAAAAAAGAAAAATTTATTCTCTTCACAAAGACCTTAGTTTGAAGTGTAAACTAGGTTTCTTAAATTAGTAAAAGGCAGCTCCTGGGATTAAAATAAGAGAGGAGGGACTGGGAATTTCAATTGTTGATTCCCCCACTTCATTTCCACCTTCCTTTACAGAGTGCAAATTGAAAACCACTGCCACAGGACATGAATTACATGTCATTTTTACTGTAAGATTCAGACCAAGAGAACACTCGCTGTTACTGAAACTATGCTAAGATTAGATTACTTTTCATGAAATGCTGCTGGATTTCAGGATGGTGTTGCAGCCCGGGATTATTACTGTGAACAATTATCACTGTGCTTTATAAAGAGAAGAAAAAGTGTAGATTTGATAGACTCTATACTGCCTGTACTAGACAGTTACTATAGAGCCCAGATGACATTTGTAGCAATCTTTTCCCTTGCAAATATAATTGGATTATGGCTCAGTCAATTCCAGTGTCTGTGAAAGTTCAAAGCTTTTTCCTGCTTTTGGGTAATTTCTAAGGTTTATATTCTTATGGTTTGGATCTTGCATCACAAAGTTATACTTGGCAGGGTGCCTGTAATCCCAGCACTTTGGGAGGCCGAGGCGGGCAGATCACCTGAGGTAAGGAGTTCAAGACCTGCCTGGCCAACATGGCGAAACCCCATCTCTACTAAAAAAAATACAAAAATTAGCTGGGTATGGTTGCACGAGCCTGTAATCTCAGCTACTCAGGGGGCTGAGGCAGGAGAATCGCTTGAACCCGGGAGGCAGGGGTTGCAGTGAGCTAAGATGGTTTCACTGCACTCCAGCCTGGGTGACAGTGAAACTCCGTCTCAAAACAAACAAACAAACAAACAAAAAAAGTTATGTTCCACTCCTATTAACCTTTTTAAGAAAAATTGTTCAAGAATTGAAAACAAGGCAAAGAGTGGGCAGTATGTCCTTTTAATTTCCTATTGGAGTATTGTTTACAGGTCCTCTCAGGGATCTATTTAATTATCAAGGTCAGGGGTTGACAAACTTTATCTACAAGTGTCAGATAGTAAACACTTTTGCCTTACAGGCCATATAGTCTCTGTCACAATGACTCAACTCTGCTGTTGTAGTGTGAGAGCGGCCATAGGAAATGAGTGTGACTATGTTCCAATAAAGCTTTATTTATGAAAGTAGGTGGCTAGCCTGCAGGCCAGTTTTGTGAACCCTTCAAAAAGGAATGTACCTTTTTAAACTTATGATTTGCTATGACTAAGAACCCTGTGAAATTTATGTTAGTGTTTGATTATTTTTCTAGTGAAAATGCAAATGTCATATATCCTAAGGTTATGCTTTTATTACCCTCTAGGATATTAACTATTTTGTTTTTTATCTAACAATCTTATTCTAACATTATCTTTTCCATGCCTAGAGGTGCCCAATTCCTTGAATGCTCCTGGAACCAGCTTCTCCTCCTGCTGGTTCCCTCATTCATAAGTTGAAGAAGTCATTGACATGTGTTTTATGAGAATTAAAAAAAAAGGCTTTTCGTAAACAATACTGTCACATCCTAAACATAAAATTTACCCATTTAAGTGGTCCTCCCTTCCACTCGTCATAAAGTGTCACTTAATAGAAATTTAATAAGTTTTATCAGCATTTACTAAATATATATTTATAATCATATGATTTATAACTATAATGCAATATATAATTTACATATAAATATAATATGTAATATATAACATGTAATATTATATTATATACATATAAATATGTATATTTATATTATAATTATATAAATAATTAATATATAATTACATATTATATACTGTATATATACTATGGTACATCACTATGTATAGTATATTATATTACATATAATATGTAGTATATTATATTACATATAATATGTAGTATATTATATTACATATAATATGTAGTATATTATATTACATATAATATGTAGTATATTATATTACATATAATATGTAGTATATTATATTACATATAATATGTAGTATATTATATTACATATAATATGTAGTATATTATATTACATATAATATGTAGTATATTATATTACATATAATATGTAGTATATTATATTACATATAATATGTAGTATATTATATTACATATAATATGTAGTATATTATATGTAAATTATATATTATAATTGTACATTATATGTAAATCATAAATATAAATATATATTTATGTATAAAATATATAATACACAAAAATAGATATATACCTAGGATGAAATATATATATTTAATATGTTTATATTTAATTTTAATATAATCAGTGTTTAATATTTAATATTTATATTTAATTTTAATATAATTTTATTTTAATATAAATGTATTCGTATTTTAACATATTTATATAAATATATGTTTTATATATTTATATAACTGTTTTTATATAGTTATATAATATATATTTTTCATATTTATATTTAATACCATCTGTAAATATAAATATATATTAAATATAAATATTTTATTTAATCCCAGCTTATATATTATATATATTTTCATAAGTATATAAAATATATATTTACATATTTTATATTTATTTTATTTTATATTTTATAAATATATGTATACACATAAATATATTTATAATTTACTTCATAGTAACTGTCTATGTGGTATATATTACATATAATGTGTATGTAAATTATAAATATATATTATATATAATAAATATATATTATATGTAATATATTATATTTATATATAATATATATTATTTAAATATATATATTATATTATATATAACATATTATATTATTTATATATAAATATATATTATATATATATATATAAATATATGTTTTGTATGTAATATATAAATATATATGTATAAATAAATATATAGATGGATTTTTGAGACAGTGTCGCTCTGTTACCCAGGCTGGAGTGCGATGGTGGGATCACAGCTCACTGCAGTCTTGACCTCCTGGGCTTGGTGATCCTCCTGCCTCAGCTTCTTGAGTAGCTGGGACCACAGATGCATGCCACCATACTTGGCTGTTTTTAATGTTTTTGTAGAGAAGGAGTCTTGCCATCCTGCCCAGGCTGGTCTCAAACTCCTGGCCTCAGGTGATCTCCCACCTTGGCCTCCCAAAGTGCTGGCATTACAGGTGTGAACCACTGGCATTACAGGTGTGAACCAGCATTTAGTAAATGCTGGGTGCATTTACTAAATATTTAAGGAGACGTTACAAGATAGGGCATCACTGCAGAGCATGTGACCTCTTATTATTTGCCCATCTTTCCTCTTTCTTCCATCTCTGTTTTTCATTTCCTCCTTCCTGGAATACTGATTCTCTCCCCACTTCCAAATATAAATTTGCCCTTTTCTGCAAAGATGCTCAATTTAACAAAGGCCTTCAAACTAATGTGATCTTTTCTCTTTATAGAGCTGTGATTATATATATATACATATATATATATAAACACACACACATATATTCTGCTACATATATATATTGTGCAACATAAGGAAATTGCTTTGTGAAATAAACTTTTAATTAGTTTTTTTTTTTTCATTTGTCTCTTTCATAACAGAAATGTTTCAATGAACAGGTATTTGGAGAACACAGCTTTATATGCAAATTTGATCACTCTAGCAGAGATTGAAGCTTTTTTTTTCTGTTATTTTTTCCTTTCTAAAATATTTCTTAGTATTTTTTGTTGTTACACAATGACCTACTCAACATTTTTTTCTGTTTCAAACAAATGATTTACATTTGTTACGTTCAGTGAGAAGAAGGTATATTCTCTACCATTTCTGGAATTCTTTTTTATGCACATATGAAAGTATTCGAAAGCATTCAAACTCTGCTTTAGTGAGTACCTTTATTCAGATAAAATATCAGATCTTTTTTTCAACCTTCCAGTGATAATTCTCTAAGAAATATTATTCCAGGATAAGTAATTTCTAAAATGGTATTTTTATGCTCTAACAAGTTTGAAAGTCCTTATATGTGTCCACTTGCATGAATACCAGCGGTCTAATGGAAACTCTAATGTAGCAATATTCCGTATTAAGGAAAAGACCTTAATAAAACCAAGTCCTTTGTCCATAGATTTAGTTTAACAATAGTTTCTTGGGCTCCTACTAAGTGCCCAACATAGCATTAGGAATTGAAGTCAAAGCGGAATCAAGGAGGTAATGTTGGGACCTGGAAGATGTTTATTATCTTTTCTGGATTTTGATTTGCTTAATGAAAATACTCTATCTTGATAATTTCTAGCAGTAGGATGCCATTGTCATCTTCAATTAAGCCTGTGTTTCTCAAGTATTCTTTCCAGTGCTTTTGGTGGTAGGAATAATGTAAATTTTTAAATAGTAAAAAAAGACATGATCCAGATATCAACTGAAGTCACCTTGTATATGAGATTTTTAAGGAAAGGCTTCCTAGTATTCTTTGAGAATCTCAGCAGTTGGTCAAAATTTCGCAAATTCTTGTAAATCTACATTTTAACACTCACTTTTAACTCTAAGTTCCTGTTTTCCCTGAACTTTCAATTTAATGAACATTTTATCTTGTATTTTTTTTTTATATTTAACAAATTACAGATACAGAACTTGGCCCCCTTTCCTAGCTTTCTTCCCAAAAAACTCACAGGAAACTTTTGTTTATAGCAGAATTTAGTAGACGCTTTACAATAGTGGAGGGGTTTCCTAACTCAGAGGCATAAACAGCATACCATTAAGTATTAAATATCCTGTTCTTTAAAATCCTTCAGCTATCTTGGTTAATTGGCTTCTTATGTAGGCTCCAGCCACCTGCCAGTTTACCCAGCCTTCCTTGTTTCCCTTTCTCCTTCCCTCTTCTCTCTCTTTTCTAGAGCCCTCCCATTCACCTATATTTGCCTACAGAGGTGCTTGTCTCATTTCCCTAGCCAATCCTTAATCTCAAGGTCTTATCTTTATATGTAATAGGTTTTAAAAATATTTCTTACTTAAAGACAAATTTTCTTCCTAAGAAGCACTTTAGTGACAAATGTTAAAGTAACAGTCGTTTTTCCTTGTTTTACGTAAATCTTGATAAATTAAAATATCTGGCCAGGAGCGGTGGCTTACACCTGTAATCCCAACACTTTGGGAGTTTGAGGCAGGTGGATTACAAGGTCCAGAGATCGAGACTATCCTGGCCAACATGGTGAAATCCTGTCTCTACTAAAAATACAAAAATTAGCTGGTCATGGTGACGCACACCTGTAGTCCCAGCTACTCGGGAGGCTGAGGCAGGAGAATCACTTGAACCTGGGAGAGGGAGGCTGCAGTGAGCTGAGATCACACCACTGCACTCTGGCCTGGCTACAGAGTGAGAATTCATCTCAAAAAAAAAAAAAAAAGAAAAAAACCAACTCTGTCATCTTTTCCTTCTTGTACCCACATTTTGTTTTTTGGCATTTCTAAAGTTGAAACCTCTGTCACACAAAATGCCAGGTGTAAGCCAATAGAGCATGGTGGAAACCGTGAAAAGGAACAAGTGGAACATATAAATATTTTTATACTTAAATTGGGAAAACATAACAATATCCTATATGATTTTTGGTTTAGGCTACTATGTAGGTCATTGGCAAGTAAAATGATAATTCTAGCCCCAAAAGTTAGTGTAAGAATGCAATTATTAGGATGTATGTATTTTTTGTATCTTCGAACAGAAGGTCCCAGGATTGTGAATCAATATATAGCAACATAAACTACCTAACCTTACCTTTTCCCTTTCCAAAACAGACCAACTGAGCCACCCTAAATGAAACCTTAGTTCCTTACTTTTAGGAACAAGAACATGATGAGATGAATAGATTTTTACTAAAGTAGGTATTATTCTGCATTATGTAAGCAGTAATTGTAAGAATATAAAATAATTGTGCTATTCTATAATCATCAAAAAGTTGATCTGTAGGAGCCCGAAGTTTTAACACATGCAAGAAATGTTTATGCAGTTATTAGTTTGCTAAAAGAGTGATACCGACATACACTCAACTGATCAGATTTTAATTTAGCAAGCATCATTTCTCTTCAATAAATTTACATAAAATTATGAAAAAAAATGTAGTGACAAACCTTTACAATTCCACTTAGAGTGGGTCTGCTGGTGACAAATTCAGTTCTGTTTGTCTGAAAATGTCTTTATTTTACTCTCACTTTTGAAAGACATTTTTGCAGTGTGTAGAATTCTAGACTGTAAGTTACTTCCTTTTGCAAGTTTAAAAATACCATTCTAATATTTCTGGCCCTCATTGTTTCTATTGAGAAGTCATCCTTCAGTAATATTATGGCTCTGTAATTTTCTTTTTATCCTTGGCTTTTATAGGCCTTCTTGAATCCATAGCTTTATGTTTTCCATCAGTTTTAAATAGTTCTATCATATTTTCTTCAGCTATTGCTTTTTTACATTATCTTTCTCCTTTCTGTGACTCCATGCATATTCAAACTTTTCAGTGTTCTCTGTATGTCTTATTCTCTCTATCACATTTAAAAATCTTTTCATATCTTCATACTTTAGTTCTTATTTTCTTCTGATTTTTTCCTGTTCATTCTTTTTTTAATGTAATGTACTCTGCTTTTAAATCCATTTGTTAAGATCTTATTTTTGGTTATTATAATTTGTCTTAGTTTTAGAATTTCCATGTAGTTATTTTTTATAGTTCCCAGTTCTTTACCTACAGTCTATATAGTTTCTTTTATCTTCTTGAATATAGTTTTCATAATTATATTACAGTTGCTGTGTAGTGACTACTCTTTCTCGAGCCACTGTAGGTTTTGTTCTACTGTCTATTGTTTCTGCTGTTTCTGTTTATGTTGTCTTATCTCATAATTTGCCTGGTTATTTTTGACTGCATGCAGAAAATTGTATTTGCAAAATTGTTGGGGAAAATAATTTTGAGGTTTAGAATGATAAGGTCTTTTTACATAGAGGCTCTACATTTGCTTCTACCAGGCAACAGGAATTATCTCAATAATTGAAATTTAGATTACAATCTTTTTAAAGATCATTCTTCTTCTGGATTATCCCTTCTGCAAAGGGGTAGTTATTCAGGGTACTAATCCAAAGAAAGGTGGCTTTACCAAAGCTTTTCTATCCCTTGGCACATCTTGGACTCTGTCAGTCCCTCAATCCCGAAAGATTGCTCAGTCTTTAAGCCTCTCAACTTCACCTTCCAAAGTTAGTAAATGTTCCCAGGATTAAAAACAAGCCAAAGTGCCTGAATCATTTCTTAGAGTCTCTGACCCTTCCTAATCCTGGCTTAGTAATTCCTACAATTTTATTTTTTAGTTCCCCAATGCCTTCAAGCAGGAAGGGATTTGTTTCTAATTACCTCATCTGCTATCACCAGAAGTGGAAGCCCACCAGTGTTAGTCTATTTTACACACACACACACACACACACACACACTTTCTCTCTCACACACTTAGACTTAAATCAGCTTAATGAATAAGGCAAATATCCCTGTACCTATCACCTATGTCAAGAAACAGAACATTGTTAGTCAGCTCAGAAGCAGGGCTGATACATCCTTTAGGCTTAGTAGGCAAAGAGCCTAGGGCCCACAATACTTTTAGTAGCCACAGAAATATTTTAATTTCTTTAAAAATGTTTTGATTTATTTAGAGACCTATGAAGATGTCTTAATTTTTTTTAGAAAAAAGTTTTGATATACAACATTAATATATTCATGTTAACATATGAATACATTTATCTTTATGCTAACACAATCTTAAAATGTAATTTTAAAAAGTTTTTTTTGTGTTGGTAGGAGCCCACAAGGCAAAAGTACCTGAGGCCCTCAAAAGTCATACTGTGAACTTGCTTAGAAGCACCCTAATTACAACTGCCTCCTTACCTGCAAAAGTAATCACTATCTTAATTTTTATTGTAATCGTTCATTGCATTTTCTTATAGTTTTATTATCCAAGTGTGCTTCCCTGAATACCACAGTTTTATCTTGCATTTAAACATTTTGCTATAAAGTTAAATTAATTTCATCTATAGCATGTTTTCACCTCTTCTTTTTACCTTAAAATTATTCTGTTGAAGAACATGAGTCCTGTGACCTACAGAATTTCCCAGTATCTTCCTTCTGCTGATTGCATGCTTAAGGGGCAGTTCAGTTTTCCTTTGTCCGCTATATTTTCTTCAAATGGTCATCTTAATCCAGAGGCTTGATAATACTTAAGTTTAATTCCTTTGGTAATACTAAAGGTGGTGTAATGTTCCTTCATCATGCAGCACATAATGTCAGGTTGTCTTTCCTTTTGTGATATTAGAAGTCACGGGTGTTTAGTTTCACCAATCATTATGTTAATGTTTTTCTAGTTATTTTGGTTTTCTGAAGTTCATTATCCAGTAATTCCCCAGGAAGAACTCATGGGCATACTGTTCTCTGAGCTCTTCATATTGTTAACATTTTGTCTGTTTCATGTTTCTGGGAGGGTGTTTTTGCTGACATTAGTATTTAAATTGGTGAACTTTAAGTAAAGCAAATTGCCCTCCATAATGTGAGGTGGGTCTTACCCAGTTACAGTTCTGGATTAGGACAATAGACTCACCTCCCTTGAGCAAGTGGCTGCAGCAGACAGCTTTTGGCCTTGAATTGCAACATTTATTCTTTCCTGGGTCTCCAGCCTGCCAGCCCACTCTGCAGATTTTAGACTTGCCAGCCTCTGTAATCATGTGGGCCTTTTCTTTAAAATAAATCTCTCTCTATACACACCCTACTGGTCCTGTTTCTCTGGAGAACTCTAATAGAAAGTATCATAAAGCCTGGGCATGGTGGCTCATGCCTGTACTCCTAGCACTTTGGGAGGCTGAGGCAGGAGGATCACTTGGGCTCAGCCTGGACAACATAGGGAGACCCCTATCTCTATCTACCAAAAATAAATAAATAAAATAAAATTAGCCAGGTGTGATTTTGCATGCCTGTAGTCCCAGCTACTCGGGAAGCTGAGGGAGAAGGATCACTTGACCCCAGGAGTTCAAGGCTGCAGTGAGCCATAATTGTACCATTGTTTTCCAGCCTGGGTGACCGAGGGAGATACTGTCTCAAAAAAAAAAAAGTATTTTAAATATGTGACTTCACTCTTATTTTCCTTTTTTTTTTTTTTTGAGATAGGACCTCACTCTGTCACCCAGCTGTCACCCAGGCTGGAGTGCAGTGGCATGATCATGTATCACTGCAGACTTGACCTCTTGACTTCCCCAGGTTCAGGTAATCCTCCCACCTCCGAGTAGTTAGGACTACAGGCATGTGCCACTATGCCCAGATATTTATTTTGTATTTTTTTTGTAAAGATGGGTTTTTTTGCCAGGCTGGTCTCAAACTCCTGGGCTCAAGCAATCTGTTCGCCTCAGCCTCCCAAAATACTAGGATTACAGGTGTTAGCCACCATGCCCGGCCTCCACTGCTTTTTAGAATAAAGTTTGATGTTGAAATGTCTGATGAAAATATAATTTTATTTCCTTTATAAGTCATTTGCTCCTTTTTCCAAATATCTAAAGGAGTTTCTTTTGCTTAAAATCCAGAGCTTAAATCCTGTATGTGCTTTGTTAGATTTACACCTAAGTATTTAATTTTGTGAATCTATTATAAATAGAATTGATTTTATTTTCTAATTGTAAATTGCTAATATATAAAAATATGATTAAATTTTGTTTGTTGACCTTGTATGCTATAACTTTATAGTCATTAACTCTTTAGTTGCAAGAGTTTGCAGGGTTTTTTTTCTACTTTCCTTAGAATTTTCCACACAGAAAATCATGATGTTATAAATAGAGACATTTTTATTTCTCCCATTTAAATATATTTGACTTTTATTAATATTTCTTCTTCTTGAATTGTTGCACTAGCTAGAACTTTCAGTATAATGCTGAATAGAAGTGATGAGTTTGGACAGCCTTGCTTTGTTCCCAGTCTTAGGGAAAAGCATTCATTCTCTCACCATTAAATACAAAATTAGCTGTAGGTTTTTGTGGTATATACCCCTTTTCAGGTTGAGGATATTCATTTCTATATTGTCATTTTCTGATAATTTTTATTATAAATGGATATTGAGTTTTGTCAAATGCTTTAGTTTTCTTTTTTTTTAGACTGTTAATATGGTTGATTATATTGATGAATTTTCAAATATTGAACCATCCTTGCATTCCTGTGGTAAACTCTAAATGATTTTTGTATATTATTCTTTTTACATATTGTCGGGTTCAATTTACTTTTTTTTTTGAGATTTTCTTTGGTCTATGTTCATGAGGGATCTTGTTCTATAGTTTTCTTTTTGTACTATTATATCTTTGTTTAGATTTGGTATCAAGAGCTTTTATTTACTTAGAAAATATAGCATAGTAATTATTCCACTTACTTATAAAAAATTCTATACTGGATTTCTTCTGTCTAGTGGAGTAAGTCTATGATACCATTGATAATATTCTACCTTTTATCAAATGTTTTTAATACATATATCTTACTTGGTAAATTTTCCTACTCATAACTCTTGCTGTACCATTTCTCCTATTCTAATCTTCAATTCTATTGTACTACTTATATCCTGCTTACAGTTCTCCACATATGCCAAGTGGTAATAGTCTTCTAATTTCTTCATTATTCATTTTCCTATCATGAATATCCTATTCCAAGTTCATATGTCTCTAATACAATCTCATTTTTCTTGGCTTAGTTTATGTTACCTTTCTTATAAAGAATTCCCTGAAACTCCAGGTATTGCTGATTACTTCCTTTCTCATGCCTGTATTCTTCTCTAGATCAATGCCTTTTGTAGCACATGTTTATTTAATAAGTTTTCCCCCTTTATAGGTGTATTAGTTCATTTTCACACCACTCATAAAGACATACCTAGACTAGGTACTTTATAAAGACAAAGAGGTTTAATGGACTCACAGTTCCCCGTGGCTGGGGAGGCCTCACAGTCATGGCAGAAGGTGAGGGAAGAACAAAGTCATGTCTCTCATGGTGGCAGGCAAAGAGAGAATGAGAGCCAAGTGAAAGGGGAAACCCCCTATAAAATAATGAGCTCTTGTGAGACTTATTTACTACCATGAGAACAGTATAGGGGAAACCACCCCCATGATTCAATTATCTCCCACCAGGTCCCTCCCACAGCAAGTGGGAATTATAAGAACTACAATTAAAGATGAGATTTGGGTGGGGACACAGCCAAACCATATCAATAGGTTAGTGAATATTTGGAAGGCAGGGATCTGTCTTTAATTTCCAAGTACTTAACAAAGCCTGGTGCACAAATGGTGTTCTTCATTTATTTGTAGATTACATGAGCGAATAAACAGCTCGTAACTTTCAGTGTCCTCTGAGCTCAGGGAGGGAAAACTTTTTGCCTTTATATTCCTTGACTACCAAGGAGCTTTACAAAAATATTTTTTTGTGGCTAACAATTTTAATCTTTGATGATTCAGAGATTATATTATATTTGAACATTTTCAATATATATTTTTCAATATATAATTATAAATTGGAAGAGTAAATATCAAAACACTGGTTTCTAGACTAAGATTTCTGAACTTTAGTGGGTTCAAAATATAACAATGGGTATCAGTGAATTATTTTTACTATTATAAAAAATGAGCTTGGTGTGGTGGCTCATACCTGTAATCCCAGCACTTTGGGAGGCCGGGGTGGGCAGATCATATGAGGCCAGGAGTTCCAGACCAGCCTGGCCAACATGGAAACCTCGTCTCTACTAAAAATACAAAAATTAGTTGGGTGTGGTGGCAGGCACCTGTAATCCCAGCTACTCGGGAGGCTGAGGTACAAGAATCACTTGAACCGGGGGGCAGAGTTTGCAGTGAGCTGAGATCATGCCACTGAACTCCAGCCTGGGCGACAGAGTGAGACTCTGTCTCAAAAAAAAAAAAAAAAAGTAACAGAAATATATTACCCTTTGTTGAAGTTGTCCAGATTAACTAAAATATTGAATTCTTTGCTTTTGACCATAATTTTGTTACCTGGTAAATCAGAACCTCAGAATGACAGTTACAGTCATTACCTAAATAAATAATATTTAATAATTACAACTTGGAACACAAAATCTTTCAAAACATGGTGCACTTGGGAGGGCTATGCTATGTGAGAAGTTATTAGCAGTGTAAAGGAAATTATTTTTATCATAAATTCTTGTTATACCTTATAACCCTATGATTATTTTTTCTTATTTGTCTTGAAAGTTTACTATTGGGAAATGTCTCACTTAATTGAGGGTTCTGCCAAGTTGGTTTCCAGTGAGTTATTTGAGATTACATGACTAGATTTCTCAGAAGGCTAGATCAAGTACATGAATTAAGTTTCTTAAAAATATGCAAACATTCCCTGTAACTTCATGGTGAGTTGATATGTTTTCTGTGAATTGGTTTGACTTTCCAGTGAGTTTTAATGGGAGAATTACATCCTTTAGCAGCTCAAATTACAAAGATGTGTCAATGGTATTAAATGTTTGCCTTTTCTGTGAATAAGGCCAAAGGGATAGATACCCTGGTTATTTCTTACAAACACATTTAAATCAGTACTCTAGTTTTGCTTTATGCTAAAACAGAAAAAAGTCTGTGTGCAGCTTTATGTAAATATAAAGAAGGTAATAATTCAATAAAGATAATTTTGCTACATTTATCCAGAATATGCAGACTATAAATAATTAGAAAATTTGAAATGCTGGGCTATTTTTTACATATTAAAAAATGTCATGGTTTCTATGCCGAAGACTGAAGACCAAAAACTGAACAATCTCTGCCACAGAGAACCAGTTTTCCTCTCTGAACATTTCATTATGTTACATAGCTTGGGGGCTGAGGCCCAGTATAATCATATGCTAATCTCCTAAAAGTCACAAAATTTTACATTTGGGAAGCTGGTTTTCTAGGAGCTTATGAAGATATGTTTGTCATGGTAGAGGGATAGGGCATATTTTATTTAATAGTTAGCTATCTTGATTTGGAACTTTTAAATATTCAGACATGTAGTATGTAGTTTTTTATTTATACTCTTGTTCCAGGCCCTGTAAGTGTTTGGTTACAGTGACCAAATTAGTCAATATAATGAAAATCCAGTCTTATAGTAGTCAAATGAAGGGCCAATGACTTACAATACAAAAGAATTTCTAATAAGGTTCTTTTAATAACACAGACTCGTGAAAAGATCAGTAATTTAGAATTTGTATTTGTTACAAGAAAAACCTAGGCCTGTAATATGCCCCACAAGCTGGAAAGGAGCCGAGAGATCAAAGAATGAGTTGGACATGTCCAGCATGGCGAGTAGATGAGTTTATTAGGACTAACGTACAGGGCATTCCTGGGTGGTCGCAGGACAGCAGGAGATCTGCACCACCTCCAATTTCTAAGCTAATTTAAGATAACTTTAAGCTAATTTTTTGGCTCTTTGCCTACTTTGTGTACATGATGAGACTGTTTTCTCTGGTATGCTTTTTTGTGATGTCCCAGAATGTTTGGGTTCTCAGGGACACCTGTTCCTCAGCTGGGCACCATGGCCTTGGCTCATGGTGCCCAGCCTGCAAGGTTGAAGCAGTGGACATATAATCTTAAGTAAACTTGTCGGGGACTTGTCACACACTTGTCACACTACAGTATTAGTTATCTATTGTTGCTTTGCAAATTACTCTAAATTAGCAGCTTAAAATAACAAGTATTTATTATCTCACTGTTTCTGTGGGTCAGGAATCCAGGAACAGATTAACTGCATGGTTTTAGTTTAGGGCCTTACATGAGATTGCAGTCTAGAGGTCCTCCAGGATTGCAGTCATGGTGGGCTCAACTGGAGATGCTTCCGAGTTTACTCACAAGTTCGTAGGGCTTAGGTCCTTGCAACATGGGGCTCTCCACAGGCTGCCTGAGTGACCTCATGAGCTGACAGCTGGCTTTCTCCAGAGTGAGTGATTTGATACAGAGAGAGAGAGAGAGAGAGAAAGAATGTGCTCAAGATGGAAGCTGCAATTATTTATAACCTCATCTCAGGAGTGAAATACCATCATTTCTGCTGTATTATGCTGATATTACAGACCAACTGTCTGGTACAATGTGGGAGAGGACTACACAAGGGTAAGATTACCAGAGATGGGGACCACTGGGGACCATCTTGGACGCTGGCTGCCATAGAACTCCTTACTGAAATCTCCATCTCATTAACCTCCTTTTGGTTCTTGAACTTACCCAATTCTGTCTTACTTCAGGGCCTCTGCATTTGTGGCCTTTGCCTAGTGTTCTCTTTCCATTGATTTTGCTTGGCTGACTTCTATTTGAGATTTCAGCTTAAATGTCACCACTCTAGAAAGACCTTCACTGATCACTCAATATATAGTCATTATCTAGTCATTCTTTGTTATATTGCATTATTTTAATTCTGGGGGCACAGCACATAAATACACATTGAATGAATTAGTCTTAGCAATTGTATGACCTTGGGGAAACGTAAGCTCTCTAAACCTCAGTGGTTTTATTTGTGATTAATGATCCCTTACACCATCTACTACACAGGTTTTTGTGAGAACCAAATAAGCTAGAATTTTCAGTAACAATTGGTGAGATTTTCATTGTTGGCTTTTTTTTTCTCTCTCTGGGACAAAGGAATTGCCCAGGGATATATTTTCCCATTTTACTTTTCAGGTTCTCTTTATCCATCTGCATTGCAAGTTTGCTTTGCTCATTTTTTCATTTATCCATTCAGCAGATTCATGTTTACTGCCCTGTACGTGTCTCAGAAGATTTATTTTGAATTAAAGTTATGATGTTGCATGTCAAAAGTATTCAATTGGGAGAAAGTTTAGTAAGTTTTTTTTTCCAAAATGTAAAATGACATTGTGTTTTGGATCATAATTAATCATAGCATCCCATTGAACATGGAAGGTGATATGTGTATTTTAGAAACCTGTTATGCATAAAAGAACAAATACCCAAGAATCGAAGCAAACTTTTAATAATGCCCAATTGGAGTTCTGGTCATGTTTAAGCCATTCAGAGTCTAATCAGTAAAACCCCCTTGAGTCAATAATTGCCTTCTCTTTGAATCATTGCAGGTATCTGTTATGCTGCACATTATCCACATAGAAATGAACATATGGTTATTGAACACATAACAAAACAGACTCTGTTGGAGAATGTTTCCTTTAGGATGCCTTAAAACATTCTTGAGCAGAATATTATGTAGGCTACTTACTATCCCTTCTGCTCCTGGGGTGATAGGAGGGAAGTTGCTAGTCCTTCGCATTAGGAACAATGAGTGAGCACATGTGAAGAAGGTGAAAAACTCAGAATTTATTTATTTATTTAGAAATAACTATCGGTATCTTTCATGATGAAAGAGCAACAGATAAGGAGTCTTAAAAGTTGGGAAAATATTTTTTCTCTTGTATTAGCATTTCAGGGAAATCCAGTGTTGGGGAAATCCTTTCCTCAGAGCAGATCAGTTCCTAATGTGTGGATGTTGCTGCCTTTTTATAACAAAGAAGAGGCATTTGACATCTCCAGAAAAAGGAGAGAGGAAGAGTTTTAAGAAGAGGAAGCATACAGTAGAGCAAAACCTGTATTAACTTGAACTTGGTTAATTTCTGCTCTGAATTAACATAAATTTCCCAATTTACACTGACCCTAAAAAACCAATCAAAAGCATATATAAAAGTCACTTTATTTGAATAAAATAATTCAAATAATTATAACCTCTTATAGTTTAACAGTTGTGTCCAAAATGAAAATAATTTTCAGATGAACCAGAATGCCCATTACCTAAACATTCTGTAAAATTGGGGTATAAATTTACCAAATAATCTTATGTATATGTATGATATATGCACACATTCATGTATGTACATACATGCCCATGTATATGTATAAGATGATGTTAAAATAAATATTTCAACCAAGACTCTAAGTTGATAGATATCAGACATTAAAGGGACTGGTGAGACAGATCATTCCACATGACTTACAAACATAAGCTGAAAATCAGATGGATGAGTTTTAAGAATCTTAAGAATCATCTTAAGATTCTTAAAACCCCTCATAGCTTGAGGATATAAAATATTCAGGAAAGGGGAGATTGAAAGTAGATTTATGAGGGTAATTGGGAAGGACTGTTAATGCACTGTGGAAAAGCTTCCACTTCCTTTTCCCCAGAGGAAGAGTTATAGGGTCTTGCCCCTCCCCTTGAACCTGGTGAGAGGGTTTCAATGGGGCCACTTGGCAAGCATGATACATGTGTCCTGCATCTGGGGGACATGGACTGGTGTTTGATTTCCATCTGAGAAATGGAGAGGGTAGAAGATAGCTGTCAACAGAGCCAAAGGAGTCTTTGGCTGCCCTCAGTCTGGAGTTGGTGGGAAGAAGCTTTGTGTGTGTTTCCCATGAACTGAATGTGGGCCATGCATGAGAGAGAGAAAAACACACACACACACACACACACACACACACTCAAAGAGAGCAAGAGAGACAGAGAGAGAGATTTTTCTTAGACCCTATCCAAGAGCAGCAGAGAGAAGTGGCAGGTAACACTGGATTCTGGGGCTGAGAAGGAAGTCCCCGACCAGCAGGGAGAAGATGAAATTACCAATATTAAGAAAACTCCAGGTGAAGAGAGCCACAACAATATAGGCTGAAGGGAGAGCTAAGGAAGTGTCCCATAGTGAATCAGCTTTTGATTCCTGAAGGCCCAGAAACTCAAGGCCAGCTTCCAACAATAAGTAATTAAGAAATGTCTTTCTCCCTTTTACTGATACAATAGCCCTTGAGGAAACAAAAAGTATAGTTAAGAAGAATGAGTAGAAATGCTAAGTGGTGAAACAGAGAAGAAATCAATCACATGCTCTTCCTCAAATACAGCTGTCCTGTCTACTGCAAGTATGAGCAGCATCCACATATCCACAGGAGAGAAACTTGATCTTCACATTGAGAATACAGTTTTTCATTGTTATTATTATCTTGCTTAGACATAGCCTTTGTTAGAGACTCGAAGTAACCGTAGGATTGACTGTCACCTAAGAGAGACTAGAATAGTCATGGGGTCCACTTTAGTTTTCATCCAGGGGCAGAAGAAGATGTACTGGTTGCATATATTTGTAAAAGCAAACAAAATGTCGGGAAGGATAAACGTAACATTAACTGGGATTACCTCTTGGAGGCAGAATTGGAGATATGGGAAATTGGGGTAGTTTTATATTTTATTGTGGATATTTCCCCAACAAAATGGTACTGGTTGAATTAATTTTACATTTCTATACTTGCATTTTCAAAATGTAACAAATCTTAAGTTCTTACACATGTATATTTATTCAAATGAACAAGCATATTATGTACACATATAGTGTGTGTGTGTGAGTGTGTGTATACATGCGTGTGATTTTAGAAGTAAAGAGATTATATTCCTGGCATGTGTAATGACTACCAAAAGATTTATTTATATTAAAAAAATAATTGTCAGGAACAGTGCTGAGATTTCCAAGACAGTCGCTTGTGTTAGTGACCTCTGATCAGGCAACCCCTCCTGCTTTTCTGTGTTGGAATCTCTAGTTTCTACCAAAAGGAAAGACGCGCCTGGTTTCACGCTGAAATTCTTTGGAGTCTTTGGCTTGAAATAACATAAAAGACCTTTGTTATTCAACCTGTGCATTCATCTATGCAAGCACATCTCCTTAGGGAACTGCTTGAAAATGGGATTTTTGTGGCCTTCTCTCCCATTTGACTTTCTTTCCCCTCTCCTTTTCCCCCATCCACGTCCAGGTATCTATTAGTTCTCTCTCTTTCAATAACACTGTTCTGGCTGCATTGAAAGTACTTTTTAATGCAGGAGATGCACTTCAGGCATAACACCAGGTCACTTTTTGAGTAATGTTTTATAGGATTGGTTAAACTTTAGCACCATAACTGTTGACTTTACAGGCCAGAAAAGAGACTCAAGAGTGTTACGTGCTGGATAATTTGTGCCTTACAATTTTGAAAAATCAAATTGAGATAAGGGTTTAATGTGCTTGAAAAAAGAAGCTGTCATCTATTTTTGAGTCTTCTATGTTTAATAGACCTCAACATTTAAGATAAAATAATATCTTTTACATTAATAAAGTTGCAGTAAATAACTGTATATAAAGGAAGGCAGTTTTTTAAATTACAAGGGCAAAGATAAAAATTTAAATAGTCTTCTCCATTGCTCTAAACCTAATTGCTTACTTTCTCCCTTTTTGCTGTGGAAAATGAAGGACATTTGCTCTTAGTAGAATTTTTTAAGGTTGTGAAAATTAGCATAGCTAATCTTTTTATTAGAGAAACAACTTTGGGCTAAAATGTGGCAGAATCATAAAAACATTTTTTTTCATCTGATTTTGGAGTTGGAAATCCAAATCATTGATTTTATCTGCATAGAAAGATACATTGCCAGTATAGAGAATAATCTTTCCATTTTGTCAATAGTGGCTCATTGATGTGGTTCATAATTAGCAGAAGAATATCATAGAAAGGAAAAAGCTGAGATAGGAAAAAATAGATCACCATGAATTCATAGGACTGATTTGGCACTGTGTCAATTTAGCTGAGTTGGAGATCTGTTTTACAGAATTTCCTTCCCTCTATAGTTTTGGATTAGGGTTAACCAGGCGAGTTACATGGGTGAGAGCTGGCAGGCTGAAGCCGACAGCAGCCACTGCACTTTGAAGGTCATAAACATTGTCGCTGATCTGCTGTTGCAAAGTTATGTACAGATGGCTGATCTGTTGGCTCACTTTCTCGGTGCGGGGCAGCAGATGAGTCCACAGCTTTTCCGGCACTGGCTGGATCAACAACTTCAGCTTCTCTGAATCTTAGGCCAGGCATGTGTGCAACTCCATGGTGGAAAGCACCAGCGTCTTCCATAGTCACCTTCATTATTAGGATTACATTCAGTGAGAGTCAGGTGCACCTTTCAATTTGTCCTTGTTTTCCCCTAATTTGTGTCTCGCTCTCCTTCTTGACTGCCTACCAAGCTGACTTAGCAGTAACTTCAGACTCAGCACCAGCTACAGAACCTATGCCCCTCCATAAGTCTCTTTACCATTTCCCCTCCATGGTCCCTGGTTAGTGAGTTTTCTTTATTTCTTTTTTGAGACAGAGTCTAGCCCAGGCTGGAGTGTAGTGGCATGATCTGGTTTCACTGAAACCTCTGCCTCCTGGGTTCAAGGGACTCTCATGTCTCGGTCTCATGAGTAGCTGGGATTACAGATGTGCATCATCACATCTGGCTAATTTTTGTATTTTTAGTAGAGATGGTATTTTGCCATGTTGGCCAGTTTGCTCTCGAACTCTTGTGCTCAAGTGATCTGCCTGCCTCGGCCTCCTGAAGTGCTGGGAATATAGGCGTGAGCCACCACTCCCAGCCCCTGGTTAGTGAGTTTTCTATGATCCTCTATCCATCCCTTTCTGAATCTTTATATCCTCATCTTCTCCCACAGTTGAATAATAGCCCTTATAACGAATCTCTTATTCTGTATCACTAATACTGGTTCAAACCCTGACTGATACATGACCTCAACTAAAAAGCTCTCTAATCTATGCTTAAGAATGTCAACCTCAAAAATGTTTATGATTTAAAGTAAAATATTACTTTCTGACCCTGTGACAGTTTACTGAAATGCCTTTTACTGTTGGTCTTTAGGGCTTTCCTGCTTTTAAATGGCTCACCTGATTAGGCTAGAGCCACTCAGAATATTCCTCCTTATAATTAACTCAAAGTCAACTGATTAGGGACCTTAATTATATCTGCAAAATCCTTTCACCATTTCCACATAACGTGACATAATCATGGAAGTGATGTTTTCTCACCTTTGCCATATTCTGTTGGTTAGAAGCAGGTCACAGGTTCTGCCTGTACTCAAGGGTAGGGGGTGACACAAGGGAACCTCATTGCAGGTTACCCTAAAGTGTGTTTGTCACACCTTCTTACTATGATTCTTTGTAAAGGGACTACAATTATATATATTATTAATATATTCTTTGACTTAATAATTTAGGAAAATACAATTTCCAATTTTTTGTTTTATTTAAAAATTTATCACTGACCAATATTTTTATTGCATTATTGTCAAAGAATGGGCTCCAAATATTTTACTTAAATTTTTTTGGTAATTTATGGTCTTGGAAAACATTACACAGACACTTATAAATAAGAAGTTTTTCTATAAGTTATGAAGTTCTGTATGTGTATCTATTATATTAATGTTGGTACTTAGATTATTCAGAACCCTGTATCCCTATTTTTTTTGCAACTTAATCTGTCAAAAGTAACAATGCTATGTTGAGTTCTTACACACACACATACACAGAGATATATATGGGTGTGTATATATATTTATTTATTGGGTTTTAGGATTCTATTTATAAAACATTTTTTGTTTGATATAAAAAGGTACTATTTGGCACATAAAGATTTACTATTATATCTTTATTATATATTCAGTATTTTATTCCTATGAAATAAGTCTCCTTGTCTTATAGAATGAATATTATTAATCTTGATTTATGCTTTGTCTAAAAAGGATATTGCCATCTCAATTAACTTAAATTTTCACCCATTTTTTGAAAAATATCTTACTCTTTCCACTAGAGTTTAAGAGGTTATGGCATAAAAAAATCTGGTGAATAATTTTTAAAAATATATACTATTATGATTAAACTTTGCAATAAGAGTAGAACGATCTGAACTTGGTATATTAAATGATTTACAACTTGTAATGTGCTGCACATTTCAGTTACATGCCTAAGGAAATAAATCAACTTGTCTTATCACCATTGGGGGAATTTTTCATGTGTGATCATTTGTATTTTAAAGTCTGCAGTATACACATTGTCTTTATAAACAATGATATAACTGACTTTTCTTTAGTAAAGCTTATGCCTGAGTTTTCATGGGTTTATTTTGTTTGTTTGTGTAAAGCATAGTTCCCAGCACAGAAGGAGACATTTACTAAATGATAGACATATTTATTACAATGATATCACAAAAAAGTCTCTCAAAGTTTTTTCAGTTGACTTTATAATTGAAAAAACTTCTCCCTCAGTATTACTTTTTTATGTTTGGGAGTCTGATGTACCTAAGTCTAGATGGAGTAGTGAGATTGCTGCTGAGCAGATAATATTTTTGGTAAGTGCAGCCTTTATTTACTGGCTAAAGCAGGTGAGTAAGAGGGAAATAAAATGAGGGGTGTGTGTATATGTGTACGTGCATGCACACACATGCAAACACCATCGCTAGTTTAAGTTGTCATTCAAACGTTTTATAATTTACTTTGTGTTCATCTCTTAAATGTAAGTTTAAATTCTGGTCCCGGCAAGTTGTTTTCAAATATGTACTCGTAATAGGAAAAAATATAGTAGTATTAAGGCATAATGTGGAAGTAGATGGTCTACTAACAGCAAGCTGCTAACATTTTTTGTTTGTTTGTTTGTTTAGCAAGTACATTCCTTATATACATTTATTTGTATATACAAATGCACGTATATATTTACATACATACAATCATGTCATGTGTGTAAATCTATACACTATATAATATATAGAGTCTGTAATCAACAAACCACTATCAACCAGAGTATCTTGTAGCCTTTTCTGGTTCTGTGATCTTTGTATGAAAGTTACTATGATTTGCAGAAGGTAGTGGCATAGATCTAGCCGTGACAAGCCCTCTCCTTACTGTCCTTGTCTCTGGTTCTATATACCAAGGGACTCAATGGTGGCATCCTTTACTCTTCCTTTCCCTTCCTTTACATTCTAGATTCTTTTCCCCTTGTCCCAATATTCCTATCAAGCTATTATGGTTTAGGTAAATGAAAAATTAGTTGCCTCTTCCCAAACAGCTGTAGACCTCTGGTAAAAAATTCATACAGATGTAAATATATATGCAGATTTTTCTGAAGCAAACCCCTCTCACTCCACTGCACTTGCAAATTTCCCCAAATACTGTTATGATAATACTAGGTGATTTATTTTACATAAGGATACATCTGAAGGGTGCAGCACACTGTGATTTGCAAACCATTTAACTTGCTAAGATCAGATTGTTCTGCTTTATCTGCAAAGTTCACCCACAAGGAATTTAATATAAAGGCTTTTATTCTTGTTATTTCATGTATTGTACTCTTCTGAGATCTGATGGATGAGTTTGAAATGGATGGGTGGGGGAGGAGAGAAGGAAATTAGCCACTTTGCATTTTCTATAAAAAAGCAACCCCTAACCCTCAATTTCCCACAAGACTGTTGAGAATATTCAAGGACACCTAGGAGAATGACTGCACAGTCTCATAGGGAGACATTATTACTCAGGTGCAGGGTGAATGGGTATGTGCCCAGGGAGCAATGAATCAGAATATTGTCCCTCTTGCTCCTATGTATTACCTTGAAACTCGAAGGGTGAATAAGTGACTAAGTGTCTGCATCCTTGCTAAGAGTAAAGAAGACATTTTGTTCCCATTTCCTCTCCTGAAGATGTTCATTGCATACTGGTATTGTACCAGGGAGTCATGGAACCAAAGTTGATATCCTAGCTTTGTCATGACTTGTGTGGTATGGGGCAAATTGCTTTAACTTTTTGGATTCCTCATGTGTAAAATGAGTGACGGAATGAACATGACATCTAAGATCCTTGCAACTCTCAAGTTTTGTATATTATCTCCCTTTACTTACTTCCCCACCCTCCCTTCCTGAACTATGATTTCACTTTCCTTTTATAATAATGTTTTCTTTTTAAAAAATATATGCACAACTTATTCTGGTGAATGGTTTATTTTCTTTCCATTTATACACTTAATTAAACATTTATTGATCTTCTACAATGTGTCAAGCACTGGAATAAAAATATTGAAAAAGATGGTAAAAATTTCCTTTAAAAAATAATAAAGACATTAAAATGCTTTATTATGTAGTGTAATGTGCTAGAACTGAGGAAGTGCAAGCTGTTATGGGATCAGATAGGTGGATGGGCATCTGCCTAGTGGAGATTAGAAAAGAAATTCTGAAGATGTGGTATTGAAGGCTTGAAAGTTAGATAGGAAATAACTAAACAGATGGGAAATATTAGGAGATCAATAGACAAGGTTTGGTGGTTTATAAGGTATAGGAGGTGGGGAGGAAGAAAGAAGAGTAAGATAATCCTGGCTTGTGGATAGTGGATGCGTTTGGGAAAACAGAAAGAGAAGAAAAGGTAGGGGGTAAATAAAAGTGTTTAGCAGAGGCTGACTCAATGAGAAAGCCACTGGTAATAATGCCAGTATTTTATATTTGGGTGGTGCTTTTCAGAAAAA
Organism: Homo sapiens; assembly: GCF_000001405.40. Lineage (NCBI taxonomy): Eukaryota > Metazoa > Chordata > Mammalia > Primates > Hominidae > Homo > Homo sapiens. The sequence continues at coordinate 83,714,404 of NC_000004.12, forward strand.
AGCACTTCCATGTACCTTTTTTCACTTAAGGCTCATAACAAACTGGTAGATAGAAATTATTATTCTTGATATTCAAATGTAAAAAAATTTCAAAACTTGGAGATAGGCAAATAAATGACATGTCCTCTTGATGTCACAGTGTCTAACAGCATTATATAATTTTTCTAGGGTAGGTATCTTTCTTTCACTTACTATTTACTGTTGATTAGGGTATTTTTACAACTCTGGAAGGGTAGATGTTCACTTGTAGAAAATTGATGGAGATGCAAATAATTCGTAGCTGGTAGAATAAGAATTTTGCCTGGTAGGCACACACATAATTTCTGGTAAAAAAGTTAACCCCAAAGTTTTTATTGTTTTGTAAGACTCTAACTAGTTGTGTATCTTATTCCATTTTGGCATCTAATTTAGTACTCTTATTCCAGCACTTTCTTTCTGCTTCTTCTACTACCCTTTTAAATAGCTTTACCATCCTGTTGGCTCCCTCATTAGTGAGTTAAATAAATCTTTGACATGTGTTCATTCTATATTTGTATTATAGTCATGGTTTTAGCTTTTTAAAAGGTATTTTGAAAGGGACGAAGCAAAAGAAGGTCTCAAGAGATAAGTGATTTGCTCCAAGTCATGCTGTTATAGGAAGAGCAGGAACTGGAACTTAGATTTTAAGACTGTAATCTGGTGTATTTTGTGAGATCGATCTATCTATCTATCTATCTATCTATCTATCTATCTATCTATCTACCTACCTACCTATACCTATTAGCTACCTATTTCTAAAGGGTAGTTCTGAACAGTTCATAGTTGCTGCTATGTTTTTGTTTTAATAAGTATAGATATGTATCCAGAAAAGCAGCAAGCAGAAAAGCTAATTTTAATTCATTAATTTTAAAAATTCACCAATATTTTTTAGTTCTCTCTGTCTGTGCTCTTCTATTAGTTTTTGAATCATCACAGATATCATGACTTTATGTATAAACACCCCAAAACTAATTGCTAGCTTCAATTTTTCTGGAAACAGGTAATTTGGGAATTAGGAAATAATCCTGAATATTTTGTTGGATTTAGTTTCCTTAGTTTCATTGGCAAAAATATTGTATAGGTTATCAGCCCAAATTTTCACCACATTTTGAAATTCCCCTGTGATGGTTAAATTTTATGTGTCAATTTTACTGGGCCACTGGGTGCCCAGATATATTGGTCTAGCATTATTCTGAGTGTTTCTGTGAGGGTGCTTTGGGATGAGATTAACATTTAAATTGGTGGACTGAGTAGATTGCCCCCCATAATGTGGGTGAGCATCATCCAATCAGTTGAAGGCCAGAATAGAACAAAAAGGTTGATCCTCTCAGAAATAAGAGAGATTTCCTCCTGCCTGACTGCTTTTGAACTGGGACACTGGTGTTTTCTTGCCTTTGGGCCTGAACTGAAATACCAGCTCTTCCTGGGCTCAAGCTTGCAGGTCTTTGGACTGAAACTACAGCATCAGCTCTCCTGGGTCCCCAAGCTTGCTGATTCACTCTGCAGAACTTGGGACTTGTCAGCCTGCACAATCTCATGAGTTAATTCCTTAAAGAAAATCTTTTTCTATGTATATATACATTCTATAGGTTCTGTTTCTCCGGAGAACTCTGATATACTGTACTTCAAAATTTCTAAATATGGTAATTTTAGTGTCAGATATTTGGACTGCTTCAGCTGTTAGTCAGTTCTGCCTAAAAGAGAACCATGATTTATTTCTCTATAATTTTCACTCACTGGGTCTAGGTCTTTATAATGATCTCATTTCCAGAATTTTAATTTGGCTTTCACATGCACCAGGTGTCCTCTTTTTAGGCAAATATTCCCAGGTTCTTCATATGATTTTGACCTTCTTGCCATCCTAGGTGCTATTTCTAGCTGTCAATATTTTCTTTAATATGTAGCACCCAGAAAGAAGTACCACATTGAGGAGGTTATCCACTCTGCAATAATAACTTCAAAGACTATAATAATGGACAACCTTTATTGAGGGATTACTGTATATCAGTTTCTTTCATTTAATCTGTACAGTAACCCAGAGGATTATAATTTCTTTCTCCCACACAGGAAAACTTAGGTCAAGGAGTTTACATCACACATCTATCAGAATGTAAGAACTAGAGTTTAAAATCTGGTCTAGCATTAAAAGCCGTTCTCTTAAGAGTGGTATATTCTTGTTTGGATACCTCATTGTGAGTACAACTTAAGATAGAATTAAACTGTTCAAGATGTCAGATTTCACACTTATTTTCTCCCCTATAGATTTCCTTAAAATAAATAATTTAAAAGATATAAACTCTACAATAACAAAGAGAATGAAGAGTAGAATGGCGTAGGATAGAAAACGTAATAATAAGCACTTATGTTCTATTTGATGTTGTAATCATGTACACTTACTCCTTTCATAAAAATATAAAAATATAAGAAAAGTATTTTCACAAGAAGGTCAAAGTGTTGACTCATAGAGCTGTAGTCAACTCTAATCTTTATGTCATTTATTTGTTTATTAAAATTTTTAATTATGGCAAAAATACATAAGACTTACCATTTTAACCATTTTTAAGTGTACATTTCAGCAGTGTTTTGTATATTCACATTGTTGTGCAACAAATCTCTAGAATCTTTTCATCTTGCAAAACTGAAACTCTATGCCTATGGAGCAATAGCTTCCCATTTCCACTACCTCCCAGCTCCTGGCACCCACCATTTTACTTTCTGTTCTGAGGAGTGAGTGGTGTCTTAAAGTATTTATATTTTTGTGACTGGCTCATTTCACTTAGCATAATATCCTCAAGTTTATTAATCCTTATGTCTTTTGTGCAGAATTTTTCTATTGGGACAGAGTCTTTCTATATTTATTTATAATTAACTTACATTAAAAAGTATTCTTTTGTTTGTTTGTTTTTTGAGACAGACTCTTGCTCTCTCTACTAGGCTGGAGTGCAGTAGTGTGCTCATGGCTCACTGCAGCCTCAACCACCCAGTCTCAAACAATCCTCCCACTTCAGCCTCCTGAGTAACTGGGACCACAGGTGTGTACCACCATGCCCAGCTAATTTTTAAATTTTTTGTAGAAAGAGTGCCTGACTATGTTGCCCAGGCTGATCTCGAACTCTCGTGCTCAACCACCCACCTTGGCCTCCCAAAGTGCTGGGATTACAGGCATGAGCCCCATGCCCGACCAGAAGTATTCTTTTTCTTGATTTTAGAAGCAATATAGGTTCACTGTAGAGCATTTGAATATTAGTGAAAGTATAAAAAGAATAAAAATATTGACCCACAACTCTACCATTCAGAGGCAACAACTATTGTAATTATGGTGTATATTTCCTTTCAGTCTTCTCTTTAAGAAAAAACATTAATCATAGTTGAGATCCTAATGTACAGTTAACCCTTGGAAAATATGTGTTTGAACTGTGTGGGTTCACTTATCCGTGACTTTTTTTCAGTGAAAGTTACATCGAGTGTGCCTGCCTCTCCTGCCTCTCCTTCCACCTCCTCTAACTCTCCTGCTTCTACCACCCCTGAGACAGCAAGACCAACCTCTCGTCAGCCTATTCAATGTGAAGAAAATAAGGAGGAAGACCTTATGAGGACCTACGTCCAATCAATAAATAGTAAATATATTTTCTCTTCCTTATGATGTTCTTAATATTTTCTTTCCTCTATCTTACTTTATTGTAAGAATACGGTATTTAATACACATAACATACAAAATATGTGCTAATCGTCTGTGTATGTTATCAGTAAGGCTTCCAGTCAATAGTAGTGTATTAGTAGTTAAGTTTTGGTGACTCAAAAGTTATACATGGATTTTTGACTGAACAGGGATTGGCGCCTCTAAGTCCCACACTGTTCACAGGTCGACTGTATTTATAAATACATATCCTTGTTTTTCCTTCTAACATTATAACATGTTGTGTTAGTTTGCTAGGGCTGCCATAACAAAATACCAAAGACTGAGTGGCTTAAACAACAGAAATGTGTTTTCTCACAGTTTTGGAGGCTGAAAGTCCAAGATCTAGGTGCCTGCGGGATTGGTTTCTTCTGAAGCCACTCTCCTTGGTGTGCAAGTGCTGCCTCTTCACATGGTCATTCCTCTATGCATACATGGGCCTGGTTTCTTTTTTGTGGAGCCTAATCTTCTCTTCTTATAAAGACATGAGTCAGATTGAGTTAGGGCCCACCCTAATGGTCTCATTACTTAATTACATAACTCTTTACAGGTTCTATCTCCAAATATAGTCACATTCTGAGGTGCTGGGATTTAGGACTTTAATATGTGAATTCAGTCCACAACACATCTATGTATTTAGAATCTTACTGTAATATGTAAAAACATATTCCATTGTGTACTGATATTCTTTTATTAAATATTTATCTAGTGTGTTCACAATTATGAGATAACTATTTTCATGGCTTAAGCCTTTAAAATTAATCCATTGTATTTTGGAGTATTTCCTTAGGATTTATTTCTAAAGTGGAATTACTGGATTAAAGAGTAAGAATATATTTCAGTCTCTTCATTCATATTGCCAAATTTCTCCCCAGAAATGCTGCACTAATTTCTACTTTTACCAGTTGTATGTGAAAGTATCCATTTCACTGTACTTCCACAAATATTAGATTTTTTTGAAAAAATAATTATTAAGTCAGCAGGCAAAAACAATGTATTATGATTGTAAATTTTTTTTTGAGACAGAGTCTCGTTCTGTCACCCAGGCTGCAGTACAGTGGTGCGATCTCAGCTCACTGCAGCCTTCACCTCCTGGGTTCAAACGATTCTTCTGCCCCAGCCTCCTGAGTAGCTGGGATTACAGGCGCACATCACCACACCTGGCTAATTTTTTGTATGTTTAGTACAGAAGGGGTTTCGCCATGTTGGCCAAGCTGATCTCGAGCTCCTGACTTAGGTGGTCTGCCTTCCTCAGCCTCCCAAAGTGCTGGGATTACAGCTGTGAGCCACTGTGCCTGGCCATGATTATAAATTTTTAGTATTAGTAATTTCAAGTATTTGTTACATAATTTTATTTATTCTTTTGTAAATTATCTGTTAGTATTATTTGCTTATTTACTTTGGTCTTGAATTTCTTATTAATTTATTGTGAACTCTTTAGTTTTGAAGAACATTATATCTATAATATTTACTCCAAATATCTTTGTCAGTTTCGTTTGCTTTTTTACTTCTCTTTTTAAATACAGATTCTTTCTAATGTTATGTTACAAAGACATAAAACATATTTTAATTATTTTCAATTTTAACTATCTTTTTTGTTATGCTTTCTTCTATTTCTTTCATTCCTAGAACATCTTTCCTAATTCAGAAATCAGAAATGCCTAGATTTCCTCTAACTTCTTAAATTTAACTTACTTAATTATTGAGTCCTTCTGAAATTTTTTTATGGGCAAAGTATCATTTAAACATTTTTTTGAAACAATTGACAGAATTTGTCAATTAAAAAGCTGTCCTTTGTTCCTGAATGATGGTGTAGTTGGCATTATATATCACAACTTCATTGTTTTTAATTGATCTAACAATTCTCAAGTCAATACCCTACCAGTTTATTTATTATAAATTTGCAACTTGTTTTAATATTTGATGATACTAGTACTCCTTCATGGTGCCTATGTTTAAAATGGGCCTTTTGCCTTTCTTTATTCTTCTAGATTAATTTAGAATACTTTTTAAGTTAAAATAAATTGGTCGAGATTTGAATTAGATTTCATTAATATTCAGGAATGTCTTATATCTCTTTACTTATTCAAACCTTTAAAAACAATCTCTTGGTAAAATTTTTCCACATATTTTATATAGATCCTGCCATTTATTTTCAGTTATTTCTAGATATTTTATTTTTTATTTATTTTCACAATTCTACATGAGATTTTAAAACATTTTTGAAATGGCTTTTCTAGAAATATAGAAAAGCATTCAATTTTTGTAACTTCATCTTGGATTACTACTTTTAGTAGCTTTTTTTTTTCTGAGACGGAGTCTTATTTTGTCACCCAGGCTGGAGTACAGTGGCGCAATCTCAGCTCACTGCAACCTCCGCCTCCCAGGTTCAAGAGATTCTCCTGCCTCAGCCTCCGGAGGAGCTGGGATTACAGGTGCATGCCACCACGCCCGGCTAATTTTTGTATTTTTTGTGGAGACAGGGTGTCACCATGTTGGCCAGGCTGGTCTTGAACTCTAACCTCAAGTGGTCCACCTGCTTCCGCCTCCCAAAGTGTTGGGATTATAGGCATGTGCCACTACTTCTGGCCTTATTTGCTTTCAAAGATAGTTTTCTAATTGTTTGATTCTCTTGTACTTTCTGAGTATCTAGTCATATTGCCTGGATATCAATCTTTTATCTTTACTGGTTGTTTTTATTTATTTTATTTGTTTTTTTTAAATTGGCTAGGACTAAGTGTAGAATCTTATTTGTTGAACTTTAAATGATGCTTGTGCTGCTCCTGCATTTAATGGGACTTCTTTTTCTAGGTCACAGTTAAGCTTGAGGTTGGTTTGTGAGCTCCAATTTATTGAATGAGGATGTTGGGCTTTACATTTATTTTTATTACACTTTATCTTATTATTTCTGGCTCATCAGCCAGCTCCCAACTTATTTAAAAATTGTAAGGCTGGCAGCCTTTGGCAATGTTAGCTTCTCCTCTCACCCTGGGCCAACTACAGTATGAGAGATGTCTTCTTTCAAGAAAGTAAAATTGAACACACAGATTCTTGGACCTGCACTCCAGCATACCAACTTCCCCTGGGTTCCCTCTGTTACTTAATTAACACTGTTCAACCAGCTATAAATTCTGCACATTCTCACTCCCTCAGCCCCATTTCTCCATCTTGAATACAAAGATCCCAGCCATTTTATTAAATGCTCTGATGAAATCAAGATGGAGTAAATCTCTGGCCCTCCTGTTTGTTAGTCTGGGTTATCCAAGTGAACCCCACTTTTATTTTCCAGTGCTCACAAGACATCTAGAATTATCCTGGGATTCAACATAAAATGTTCCTTGGGTCCGCTTTATTTCTTTTGGAAATATAGATGTTTGCTCTCATCTAGTTTTGGGGAACCTTTCCCTTTCCCTTAATTTCTTGGGATTTTGACAGTAATTGTGGGATGATAATTGTGGTCTTTTTAATACTCTGGAAAGTTATTATTTTGGGTCCCGAAACTTGAATTTATTTCAAACTGCTTGCTGGGTCCTGACTATCTTCCACCTTCCCGGGGCTCTACTTCCTCTTCAACCACATCAGCGCTCTCCTCTCAGGAGTGAAAGTCATGCTGTGGATAGAGAAGGCTGAAACAAAACAGGCATTGACTAGTTCTGACTCCTCATATCTGTCACAATGAGTTGGCCTTGATATTTTGTTTTTGTGACAATAAATACAGCTTAAAAAAAGAGGCATATTTTCTCTATAGAATTTTTCTCAATCTTCAATCCATTCCAGATTTTATCTTTCAAAACAATATTCCTACAGCTTTATGCACTGAGAAAAATTTCTTCCAGATTATATCCTCTTTTCATTTATTGTACGTAAAGTTTTAAATCTGTTTATTAGTGTACACCCTTATACAGCTAACTTTTCTTTTTCACTGAAATAATTTTTTATTGTATTGTCACCTTTTGGTTGAGAATCTGGTATTCCTCCAGAGCCATTTCCCTTCATAGAATTTCTATTGACATACATACAGCAAGGGCTGGAGAGACACACATCATTGAAAGCTCATGTGATGAGAATTCAACATAGTTATTCAGAGATCTATAGGATTGTTTATTTATTTATGTTTTTGAGACAGGGTCTTACTCTGTCATCCAGGCTGGAGTGCAGTGGTGCAATCTCAGCTCACTGCAACCTCAACCTCCCAGGCTCAAGCGATTTTCCTGTTTCAGTCTCCCAAGTAGCTGAGGCAACAGGTGTGAGCCACCACACCTGGGTATTTTGCTAGTTTTTTTTTAGAGACAAAGTCTCACTATGTTGCCTAGGCTAGTCTCGAACTCCTAGGCTCAAGCAATCCTGGGCTGTGCTTCCCAAAGTATTGGGATTACAGGCATGAGCTACTGCGTCTGGCCTAGAATTGTATATATATAGTTGTATATAATATATACAGCTATTTAACATAATTTTAAAGTTATATATATAAATCGACATATTTATATGTTATATTAAAAATATATAAATTTATTTATATATACAACTTTAAAAATATATTGAACGACTCTTTTTCTCTCTTTCAACCTTAAACTTGACTAAGTATAAGCTTATTGAAGGTATTTAAAAGTGTTTGTTCACTAAATTCACACAACCTCTAAGCAATTTCGAAAGACATTAGTATTTTTAAATTGGAAAAAAAAAAGAAAGATCAATTTTAACCGACTGGAGGACCTTGCTGCAATGTGGACCTGCCTCTTTGTGGACCTGTCCTGAGGATCTGTGTTCCCCCAATGCTCCCTGTCAGGCAAGGAGTCAGTCCCGTGTTGAGGTTATTCTGCTGTGACAGATCAGCACATCTCAGCCTGTGGTTTGAGACTCACTGACACAGCAACTTGAATTTTCCCTTTGACCTTTGCAAAATTCAACTTTTGGCTTGCAGTGAAATCTGTGTTTCATTGACTGTGAAATTAAGAGAATCTCCAATGAGTAAAAAATGATTAGCTTTCACTTTTGGATGAAAACACGCCAAGGACAAACATCGATTTTGAGAGATCCTTTATAGAGCATTGCACCTTATAAAGCCTCTGTAGGAGGCAACACCAGTGAAATATCAGTGCTATAGCACCAGAGGCAAAGTCTCACCTTCCAGTTCATTCTTAGCTTTTCTCAGTGACTTTCTAAGTGAATTTGCTTATGACTTTGAATAGTAGTGTTTTTAGGTATGATGACACAATTGCCAGATGATATTTACTGATGCCTGTAATAGTAAGTATTCAGATACCCTCTAATTTTCTGAACTGCATTGAATTGACATTTTTCTTTTACTCTTCTCAGCTGAGCAATAGCATTTTCTATACAACCATAGCACTTTGTTTATTCTTTCATTATGCCACTTACCACCTGTATTTTAATTATTTGTTTATATGCTTTCTTTTTGGACTGTGGCTGCCCACAGGCAGGACCTCTCTTTTACACGTCTGTGTATTCCTAGCATATAGCACAGGACGTGGAGCATACCACCCCAAGTCCAGGTTGACTTGGTGGACTCATTATTTGAAATTTTAAAAACATGAGTATTGTAAGGGTGGCTCAGTGGAACGCAGCATGTGTGAGTGTGAATATAACATAATATTTATGTTTTATTTGCAAATTGGTGTGTTTCGAGACCTGCACTGTGTATGAAGGCCTGTGTGGGCCAAGAAACTCCACGGACTTCCTCTTTCTCTGCCTCTATTTTGTGGTTTTCAAATATCCATACACCCAGTTCTAAAACTGGCCACTTTATAAACAGAGCTTCAAAGTACTGGGAGGCTCTTTCGCTTTTGAGAGCAAGCCCTGAGCTTGACATAATCCTGAGGGAGGTTCAAAAGCAAACGCCCTTTTTTCCCGTCAAGGTAAATCTTATTCCACCAGATTCATGTTTCAACTGTTAAACAAACAAAATGCCCACTGCATTGGAAGAGGCATCTATTGCTTTGGTATCCATTTGATACCTTCCCTTGAAGCCAGGGAATTATATTGCTTGTGTGAAATAACTTTCCTTTTTTAGTTGTTCAATCTGATTCAAGGATTTTTGATTAACCATTCAGGGGCTATGAATAAATAAGAACCAGCAGTCCAGTAATTGGGACATCATTACTATCTAGTAGCACATTTAATACTCAACTTCACTCTGCTACATAACCTTTTCCTTCCGTCTTCCTCCGTGATATTACCTCCTACCCGCAAAAGGCAGTGGTGTCATTGCAAGCTTCAGAAGTTAGCATTAAAATGAATACTTTTTAATTTCTTTGGATGAGATGGGGCTCTGGGCTCTGGGACAATGCTGATGGATGATGTTTTAATGCAGCTGAAATGTTATTTTTACTGAACCAGGGAAAACTATAAATTTTGCTTCATTGCCACTGATGGCTCTATGCATAAAACTATGGTGGCGCCCATCGGCCGTGAATAATCACCTCAGCACGGCAGATGTTACTTTGCGGGGAAAGCAATTCTTATGCCGAAGAATTGTGGAAAGATTAATTGTCTACAGCTGTTTCATGGCCCACAGCAATCTTGATACATTTATGATAAGTTTAAGAGCTCACTAGAGGCAGCTCCTATTCCCTGTTGTGAGAAGGGGGTGGGGGAAGAAGCCAGAGGCTTTATTTTGACACCTGGATTCATAGAATCTGTCAGCAACATTACAGCCTTCATAGAAATCCGGCAGTTGGCAGTTCTGAAATGATTGTGAGTGAGGTAAGATGCAGGAATTATCCATACGTAGATAAAGAAAAGGAGACTGAGAAGAATTATTCAAATTTGTGCAAATGAATTGCTTCCATTTTTCCTCCCTCTGCCAAGTGGAAATTGAACGTGACCCACTCTGACCTTTCTCTATTAAGTGCTGCAAATTGCAGTAAATGCACAGTTCTGAGTGCCCTAATGAGACAGAGCCCCAGGAATGCCTCATTAATAAGGGGAGTTTGACCTTGCTGGTCAGCCCTTCATTCGATATTGAAAAGAAATAAGAAAAAAGAAGAGATGACCCACTGTAAATTTTGAACAATACATTTGATTTAGTTTGCATATACTCCCAGCTAGACGCTTCGCAACCTTTCTCCCTCTCTGCTTCCCTTCAGCCACAGGCTAAGAAGATGGTACTTACCTTTTAGGCGCCAAGAGAATGTGATGACAGAGGTACAGCGAGTCTTGGCAAAGTGAGCACTGGGCTGGGCCCTGGGTGGCAAGGACATTCCTCTCCTCTTCCCACCTCCCCTGCAAACTGGGCCTGGGGAGTTCCCGTCTTGCTTTTCCTTCCTTCCTTCCTTCCTTCCTTCCTTCCTTCCTTCCTTCCTTCCTTCCTTCCTTCCTTCCTTCCTTCCTTCCCCCCTTCTCCTCTTCCCCCCTTCCCCCTCCCTCCCTTCCTCCCTTCCCCTCTTTCCCCCTTCCCTCCTTACTCCCTCTCTCTCTTCCCTCTTTCCTTCTTACTTCCTTCCCAACCCCCTTCCCTTCTTTACTTCTTTCTCCCTCCTTTTTTCCTCTTATACGATAGAACTTTTCAATTTGGAAGTGTGTGGTGCATGCGCACACACATGCTTAGAAAGGGGTCTGGCCCTCCGATATTTACTGTAGCTTTGTGTAGACGCAGGCTGAGATACTTTCTCCTTGTCTGATGTAAGAAAATCTAGGGCAAGAAATGGAGTAGTACTGCTTGTTTTGGGTAGAATTATTTAGCCTTGTTGAGCATGGAAGGTAGCCGGTAGATGTGGAACTGAGAATCTGAGCTCATGGGTCTTCTTAAATGCCTCACAAGCTACAAATTTAGCTCTTTAAACTTCCTTTAAATCACATGCTGATAGTGCCTCTCCTTCTATTCAGGGAATTTCCCAGTTACAAGGAAGCCCTATGAGCAAAGCAGACAACAGATCTTAAATGTATTTAAATAATAGCACCTAACACATAGAGATGTGCTGAAACTTTAAAAGGCAATTTCAGGATGCTTAGATGCACCACCTTGTAGAATCTTAATATTTGAAACGATCTTAGAAGTTATTTTTTCCAAACTTCTATCCAAGGCAGCAATCTCTTCTGCAATATCCCTGATAGTGAAGATGGTCTAATTACCTCAGAATCAGACTGTTTCACTGTTAGCAACTCTTATTTGCGCAGAGTTCTTTCATATATATTACTAGAGGAAAATATTCATTTCTTTTTGTGCTGACCATATTACGAGATCCAGTTTGAATGGAGCATCTGAAACCATCACAATTAGATGACTGGCTCCTGGGAGAACGGCTGTACCAAACTTTTTCAGTTATGCTTTTGGGTTATTGGAGGAATGTTGTAAGGGTCAGCAGCCTGAAAGTCACTGTTGAAATTATTTGGGAATGGTGTTGAAGATTTCCCCTACACATGCTCTATTCATAAGAACCCAGAGGAAAGCTTCTTTAAAAAAATATTTTAGAACCAGGAAAAGCTGGGCTTGTTCTCAGGAGTTGGTTTGATTTGATCTTAATGAACATATGACTTTAATTTTGTTTCTCTTGTTTCTTTGGCTATCAGGATGCTCAGAACCAAATTTGTAGCCCTTTTATTGCCAATATGCAGAATCTTATGGCATATGTTAAAAAATGTTTTTTGAATAGGCAAGACCTGGCTATGGTACCAAGTTACAAAAAATAAAGAGGGTACATGGTGAAAACTAAGTGTCTCTTCCCATTCCCCCAGTCAACAGGTTCCCCTTCAGAAAGCAGCTACTGTTACCAGTTTCTGAATAGTCTCTGCTTTTACAATATAAACTGAGATGACTGTAGGTTATGCTCTGTACTAAAGGTGATGAAGAACCATTGAATGGTTTGACGAGGGAAATCAACTAGATCCCATTGCCTGTAAGGTAGGACAGGTGGGCACTGCCAAAAGGTGTGTTGACTGGAAGTTCAGAGGCATGGCTGGGAGGCTGCTTTTGCAATCTAGGCAGGTGCTAATGAAAGAGGATGGAGGTAAGGTGGAAGTAAAATCAGCAGGATTTAGCAATTAAATAGATGTTAAGGGTGAGAGATAGATAAAAAGAATTCAGAGATGACTGTCTAATTTTCAGCTTCAGAGACTTCATGGATGCTGTAACTGCTAACAGAGGTAGAAGGTTTGGGGGAAGATGAGTTAGATTTAGATACGAGCAGCTGGAGCAAATGGACATCCAGTTAGCAGGTTGAGGTAAAAGTCTGGTGCTAAGGGTAGAGATTTGGGTTGAATATTAAGACTCAGGAATTGTAAGCCTAGAGATCACAGGAAAAGACTTGTAATTGCCCAATAGGTTCTTACTGCCTGCTGCATGGACTAGTAGAGATAGTTAATGAAGACCTAGCCAAGCAGAAGGGCTGGAATTATTACTCCAATAAGTCTCCCCAAGAACTCAGAAGCTAGAGTTTTAATGGATACTTTGGTGGGCAGACGGCTAGGGAATGGGTGTTGCTGGTTGGTTGGGGATGAAATCATAGAGGTGTGAAAAACAGTCTCTGTGTACTGAGTCTGCCTCTGGGAGGGGGCCACAGGACTGGTTGAGTCATGAATCCTGGGTTTGGGTGGAGTTGATTGGTTGCCAGAATGCAGAAGTCTGAAAGACTTCATAAAAGATCAATCTTAGGTGCCAAAATCGTGATGTTATCTTTTTATTTTATTTTGATATGGGGGTCTTGCTCTGTCATCCAGGCTGGAGTGCTGTGGTGTGATCTTGGCTCACTGCAACCTCTGCCCTCCCAGGCTAAAGTGACCCTCTCACCTCAGCCTCACGACTAGCTGGGACCACAGGCTCATACCACCACACCTTGCTATTTTTTTTTTTTTTTGTATTTTTTCTGTAGAGACAGGGTTTCTCCATGTTGCTCAGGCTGGTCTTGAGCTCCTGAGCTCAAGCAATCTACCTGCCTTGCCCTCCCAAAGTACTAGGATCACAGGTGTGAGCCATGGTGCCCAGCCCAATAGTGACATTATCTGTAGGAGCAATTGAGGAAGTCCTAAATCTTGTGACCTCTGACCACATGACTCCTGAGCAGCAAAGGATTATAGAAAGACAGGCTAGGGGACAATGGCTGGTTACCATTTAGCTACACCTACGATTTAGCAGAATTCAGGTTTCTCCTATGATCCTAATCTTGTGGCTTTTCATTAGTCTTACAAAGGTGGTTTGGGTCCCTTAGCAAGGAGGAGTTCATTTTAGGGAGGGAGTATTATAATCCTTGCTTCAAAGTTAAACTATAAATTCCTTCCATGGTTAACTTGGCCTATGCCCAGGAATGAGCAAGGACAGCCAGCCTGTGAGGCTAGAGGCAAGATGGAGTCAGCCATGCTAGACTTCCCTCACTGTCATCATCTTTCCAAAGGCAGTTTCAGACTCACAGGAGAAGACTGAGAGTACATGATGTTACCTAGGGAGAGTGAGTAGAGTGAAAATAATGTAGAAATGTGATAGACTTTGAAATATTTAAATGTTTTGTGTTAGTTGTTTTGTTCTCCAACCTCTTTCTAGCGTCTAGCACCATCTCTGGCTCATAGTGGGTATTTAGTGCTTAATGCCTTATTTAATCACTAACTGAGAGAGTTTGCAGAATCTCCACCTTCATCTCCAAATTACCAATGTATACTGGAAAATAACATATTTGGTTTTTCCCCCAGATCCAACTACCTGTAAAAAATAACATATTTGGATGTAACATTCTAGATAAGGTCTAATCTGGGAAGAGCACAATCAGATTGAACTGGACAGTATTTTTTAGAATTAACGTAATATAAGTAACTACTTGGAAGATCTCAGAGGTAGTTTTACAAAAATCACTACCTAGACTGTTTCTCTAAGCCCATATTTTAAAAATGCATTTAAAATCTAAATGAATTTATAGTTAGAAATGGAATATATTCAACTTTAGTTGATGAAGCCAGACTGTTTTCCTAAGTGATTGTACCAATTATACACAAAGGTATATAGGACTGTGTTGTTTCTTATCTTCATCAACACCTAATATTGTCATCAGTCCTTTCATTTTAGTCATTCTGGTGGATATGTAGTGGTATTTCATCATGGCTTAAATTTACGTTTCCTGGATGAATAAGGGGATTGAGCACCTTTTAATGTTATTTGACTATTTGGGTATCCTCCTTTTTTTATTATTACCACAGGGTCTCTTTTGTTATATTGGTTTATTGGTAGTTTTTGTTATTGTAGCATATCTCTATATATTTCATATACAAGCCCTTTGTTAGTTCTGTTTTATAATTTCCAAATATCTATCAACAGTAGAATATTTATATAAATTGTGGTATATTCATACAATGGAATACTATATTGCAATGAAAATAAATAAACATTGGCTATATGTGGTAAAATGAGTGAATCAGATATAAGAGAATCCCAGACATAAAAGAGTACATATTGTATGACTTCATTTATATAAAGTCTCAACACAGGTAAACTTCATCCACAGAGTTAGAAGTTAGGGCAGTGGTTGTTTTCAGAGAGTGGGTAGGCAATGATTAGAGGAGGGCAAAAGAGGGCTTCTGAAATTCTGCTAATCTTCAATTTCCTGGGTAGTGGCTACATAGGGGTATTATTTTTAATAATTAATTGAGCTGCATACTTTTGATTCGTGCACTTCTCTACATGAAATAATCTATCCATAAAAAGTAAAAAAATGGTATTGGGCTGTATGATGGTTCACTGTAGATGTCAACTTGCCTGGATTAAAGGATACCCAGATACCTGGTAAAGCATTATTCCTGGGTTTGTCTATGAGGGTGTTTCTGGAAGAGAGTGGCATTTGAGGAAAAACATCCCATGCTCATGGATAGGATCTCAATGTCATTAAAATGGCCATACTGCCCAAAGCAATTTACAGATTCAATGCTGTTCCTATCAAACTACCAATGACATTCTTCACAGAACTAGAAAAAATATTTTAAAATCTATATGGAACCAAGAAAGAGCCCTACTAGCCAAGGCAATCTTAAACATAAAGAACAAAGCTGAAAGGATCACGTTACCCACTTCAAACTATACTACAGGGCTACAGTAACCAAAACAGCATGGTACTGGTACAAAAACAGTCATATAGACCAATGGAACAATATAGAGCCCAGAAATAAGGCTTCACATCTACAACCTGATCTTCGACAAAACTGACAAAAACAAGCAGTGGGGAAAAGACTCTTTATTCAATAAATTGTGCTGGAATAGCTGGCTAGCCATATGCAGAGGACTGAAGCTGTACCCCTTCCTTACACCATATACAAAAATCAACTCAAGATAAGTTAAAGACGTAAATGTAAGACCCAAAACTATAAGAACCCTGGAAGACAACCTAGGCAATACCATCCTGGATATAGGAACAGGCAAAGATTTCACGACAAAGACACCAAAAGCAATTGCAACGAAAGCAAAAATTGACAAGTGGGATCTAATTAAACTTAAGAGCTTCTGCACAGCAAAATAAACTATCAACAGAGTAAACAGATGACCTACAGAATGGGAGAAAATATTTGCAAACTATGCATCTGACAATGGTATAATATCCAGCATCTATAAGAAACTTAAACTTACAAAAGAAAAAAACAACCCCATTAAAAAGTGAGCAAAGGACATGAACAGACACTTTTCAAAAGAAGACATACATGTGGCCAAAAAGCATATACAAAAAGCTCAATATCACTAATTGTTAGAGAAATGCAGATACAATGAGATACCTTCTCACACCAGTCAGCATGGCCATTATTAAAAAGTCAAAAAATAACAGATGCTGGTGAGGTTGTAGGGAAAAGGGAACACTTATACACTGTTGGTGGGAGTGTAAATTATTCCAATCATTGTGGAAAGCAATATATGATTCCTCAAAGAGTTAAAAATAGAACTACCATTCAGCCCAGCAATCCCATTACTGGGTATATATCCAGAGGAATATAAATCACTCTATTATAAAGACACATGCACATGCATGTTCACTGCAGCACTATTTACAATAGCAAAGACAGAATCAACCCAAATGTCCATCAATGACAGACTGGATAAAGAAAATGTGGTACATATACACCATGGAATACTATGCAGCCATAAAAAAGAACAAGATCATGTCTTTTGCGGGAACATGGACGTAGCTGGAGGTTATTATCTTCAGCAAACTAACACAGGAACTGAAAACCAAATACCACATGTTCTCACTTATAAGTGGGAGCTAAGAATTGAGAATTTATGAACACAAAGAAGGAAAAAACAGACACTGCGGTCTACTTGAGGAGGGAGGGTGAGAGGAGGGAGAGGAGCAGAAAAAGGTGAGGAAATAATCTGTACAACAAACCCCCAAGACATGAGTTTACCTATGTAACAAACCTTCACATGTACCCCCAAACCTAAAATAAAAGTTAAAAAAAAAAAAGAGAGAGAGATTGGCATTTGAATCAATGGACAAAGAAAGGAAGATCTGACCTTACCTATTGTGTGCAGGCATCATCCAATTGACTGAGGGCCCAGATAGAATAAAAAGGCAGAGCAGAGGAGACTTCTCTCTCTATTGAAGCTGGGACACCCTTTTCCTTCTGTCGTTGGACATCAGAACTCCAGATTTTCTGGCCCCTCAACTCTGGGAATTGCACCACCAGCCCCCGCCAGGTTCTCAGGCCTTTGGCCTTAAACAGATAGTTGTTGAGTTGGCTTCCTTGGCCCCACCCTGATTCTTAGGCCTTTGGACTTGGACTGAGTCATGTTACTCACTTCCTTGGTTGTCCAGCTTGTAGGCGGCCTGTCATGGGACTTCTCAGCTTTCATAATTGCATGAACCAATTCCCCTAATACATTCCCTCCTATTGGTTCTGTCTCTCTGGAGAACTCTGACTAGTATAAGCTACATGTTAGGTTGGTGCAAAAGTAACTGGGGTCTTTGCCATTAAAAGTAATGACAAAGACCACAATTACTTTTGCACCAAGCCAATATTTTGACAAAGTGTATTTGATGATGAATTTACCAAAGCACTGTATTATAATCTCTTTTACTAAATACGTTAGAAGAATATACAAATTTTCCTGCTTAAAAACCAGAATGGTATGGGGGATGAGAGTTGGGGTGGGGGTGGTGAAAGTTAGAAGTGAATGAAAGCATTTTCTAAGATAAGTAGCCCCTCCTCCTACACTGAAAGTCCTTTCCGAGACAGTATTCTGTCCCCTTCAGAGTTAATGTAAGGCCCGGATGCAGGCAGGACAACATGGATGGAAAGACTTAGCTGGGTACCAGATGCAGCCGGCAACTTCCAGTCTGACTGCATAAAAACCCTGAAAATAAGCACAGAAAAACAAACAGCTTTGAAAAGATAAAAACATTTGACAGTTTCAAGAGGTGATGACATTATGTTTTTCCTCCCATGGGATGAATCAAAAAACAGTTCCTCAAATAGATTTTACATAATTAAAGAAATCTCTCTGCCTAAAGTAAACCAACTGAATTGGAGAGTGGAGTCTGGAGCAAATGCCCTGATTTCTGATTCACTGTAAAGATTGCATTTGAATGCAATTCTAATTACACAGACCTTTTTGTGGTTAAGAGTATAGCCTCCTCAGTCAGACTGCCTGGGTTTAAATTTGGACTTAGTCTTTTACAAGCTGTTTGGGCACATTATTTATTCTCTGCAAATTGGGGACACAAGTAATATGCCCCTCATGGCTGAAGAATGGATGAGAACATGCATGACAGATGCTTACAACAGTGGATGCCACATAGTAATATCTTGATTAGTGTTAGTATTAGCTGTTATTATTACTTATAGTAACATTAATACAATTTAATCCTTCTGATTATATCAGGGAGGGAGTCTCTGGTTGGGACTGGTCTTTAGCATGTATGTAATTGTTATCAGCTGCCTCTTGTTTCAGGGTTCCAGGTTTCTCCACACTCTAGTAACACTTTCCTCTTCTTGCCTTTCAGACTTGCGGGAGGTTCTGGAGTCCCATGGTTATTAATCTCTGGAGGCTTCACCATCCTTTGTGGGTTCCTTTAATTATCTCCATTGCCTCAAAAGCTGTAAGTCAAATGTTTTGAGCTTTCCATATGCTTTGTGCTAGGATTGTCACTAATACATCTATGTCACATTTAAATAACTCTGAAAACTAAGAGGGGTGTGGCATACTGTAGTTTCATTTTAAAATTTAGTTAAAATTAAAATTAAAAATGTATAATTAAAAATTTAATTTTACAGGGCAGTTTTCCTGTACAAATGTAAAACTATTATAGATTAATATGTACTATCTGGCTAATTCCAGTTTTATATTTTGTGGTGACATCATACTTACCATCAAGAAGAAACATTTTCCCCCCTGAGTAAATTGCTGAATATTGCCTACTAAGAGTCCTCAATTACAGACAATGATTAAGCCAAAATGTAAACAGGCGTACCAGACATTGGGATGCCTGCTTAGACCTGGATTGGACCAGGTCAGTAATTTACTTTTAACTCTTTGCCTGTGGTAATTTTTAGAAATCTACTGGCTTTATGCTAACTATTTAGAAAAAAATTTTTTTTTTGAGATGGAGTCTTGCTCTGTCACCCATGCTAGAGTGCAGTGGTGCGATCTTGGCTCACAGCAACCTCCGCCTCCGGGGTTCAAGCAATTCTCCTGCCTCAGCCTATTGAGTAGCTGGGACTACAGGCATGTGCCACCATGCCCAGATAATTTTTGTATTTTTAGTAGAGACAGGGTTTCACCATATTGGCCAGGCTGGTCTCGAACTCCTGCCCTCATGATCCACCCGCCTCGGCCTCCCAATGTGCTAGGATTACAGGCATGAGCCACTGTGCCTGGCCTTTATCTGTTTGGAGCTGGCATTCAGTGTCTTTATATACCCAGACCAGTGATCGGGCTCAGGACATGCTACCCCCATATGTGACTGTAGGAGAACAGAATATGCCACCTCAAAATAAGGATTATTTATGAGCTGGCCACTTTGAGAAACAGCAGCCACAGAAGAATCTCTGAAAACCAGAGTAGAAGTTACCTTTTTGAAAGGGAAATTTATAGCTTTATAAATCTTCATCTGTAAGGGTGTCTCCCTCTCTGTACCAGGAAGAGAAGGGTGACTAAATAATTAGATACTCTTATCAATGCAGAAGGCACAGATTTAAATTTGGATACCAAACCTTACCCTTGTTTATCGTACTTTTTCTGGGCATCTCCCCATAACTGGCTCTCCCCCACACCCTTCATTCTTGGTTTCAGCAGGGTGATGGTATTTAAGCCCAAACTCTGAGCCACTGCATTGTAATTAACTCATTTTCCCCCTGAGTATCTCACATGTATATGCTGGGGCTCAGAAAATGATACCCCAAGGAATGGGGCTTTGGCATACTGAGTACTTTGAACTAAAGGGTAGTGGAAGGCTCAGTAGTGAGATCTTTCTGACCTTCTGCTGCTCTTCCTTCTCTTGCTCCCCTTTTTCCCATAAGGCAGGTGTTAGAAACTAGAATTCCTCTTTCCCAAGGCAGGTCCTAGAAAATAGAACCCCTCTTCCCCAAAGCCAGCCATAAAAACTAGAATTACTACTTTAATCTTCCCCCGCTTTTCTGTCTAGATCTAGGAGGTGACCATAAAGACATTTTCTGATCTACTCTTATCTGATAGCATTCTGGAAGGGGTTCTGCCCTGTTCTCAGGAGGAGGAATACCACACAGAGAGGCCAGGAAGAATCCGAACAGACAGGCCTTGCTGGTTTCCTTACTCAATCTATTACCATTAAAACATACCCTTTCTGTCCAATCACGTTTCTACATGGCTGTCCATTCTTCATTCAACTTAAGCATAAAAATTAATAGTTTTCCCTTTATCTTTGGGTCTTTATTTCTGAAGGCTCCTGTGTCATGTGAAATTTTGATCAATCTTTTATGCTTTTCTCTTGTTAACCAGTCTTTTTTTTACAGGAGTATCAGCTGTGACCCTTATGATGGATTAGGAAGGGCATCACATCTATGCACTGCTATACGTTCAAGTTACTGTGTGCTACAGGCACATAGTAAGCAATCAATTCATATTTTGAGGGTATAGGCGTCACTTAGAGTCCACATTGTGTATATGCGTATTGTTTTCAATATATGAGTATTGCTTTAACATGTAAACTCACATTTCTTGCTTTTCCAAAAATATAATTTGTGGATGTTTAGATAAAGAGAGTAGTTGCTCATGACTCTTCAAATAAAGTTTAATCACAATGTTAATAGGCTAATTTACTGTTAAGCCAATGACTAACACATGCTCTTTTTCTGGTATAAAATTTAAATTATAAATCAGGAACAGACACTCCTGACATGTGAAGCTTGTATACTGATGGTGTCTAACAAAACTGAAATGTCTATTTGTGTACACATAACCAAAATAAGGTTCATATATTCTGGCTTAATAGCAAACGCAAACATTAATTGGAAAATGTTGAAATGTTAATTAAACTTTATCAATGTCAGATTTTAGTTTTTAAAAAAGTCAAGGATGAAGGGAACTAACGTTATTAAGAACCAGGAAGCTTAAATACAATTTTCTATTTAATTCTCACAATAATAGCAAGGTTAGGTATTATTCTCTCCACTTTATTGGGGAGGAAATGGCTCAGAGAAGTTATATGACTCACATTAATCAGCGTTAAGTGGCAAAATAGTAATTGAAATCCAGTTTGGATTACTCAAATCTTAAGTTCTTTCCATGATTTTATATTGCTATGTAGGTGAAAAGTAGTGCATTAACTTTTTCCTGTTCATTTCTCTATAGCTAATTTCTGAGCAGTTGTTGAATTATCCAGAGGCTCAAGGCTGAGGCAGCTGGCACTTTGTCTCTTCTTTCCTTCTTCTATTTCTCCTTTTGTGTCTGTCTTTCCCCTTTTCCCTCCTTCCCTTCTTACCTTCCTTTCTCTATTTTTTTTCCTCCTTCTCTCCTCCCTTTCTTTTTTTTTTTTTTTTTTTGAGATGGAGTCTCACTTTGTCGCCCAGGCTAGAGTGCAGTGGCACGATCTCGGCTCACTGCAACCTCCGCCTCCCAGGTTCAAGGAATTCTCCTGCCTCAGCCTCCCGAGCAGCTGGGACTACAGGCGCCTGCCACCACGCCCGGCTAATTTTTTATTTTCAGTAGAGACAGGGTTTCACCATCTTGGCCAGGCTGGTCTTGAACTCCTGACCTTGTGATCCACCCGCCTCGGCCTCCCAAAGTGCTGGGATTACAGGCGTGAGCCACCGCGCCTGGCCTCTCCCTCCTTTCTTCCCGTCTTTCTTTTTTTCTTCCCTGATATCTGGATTTCTTCACAATAAATTATGCAGTGAATTCCTCAGTGTCACTGATGGTAAGACTGTAGTGATGTAGGCTGTCCTTGCAAAACAGTCAGGAACAAACGCAATTCAAAGAGAAGAATGAGAAACCTAGGAAACATAAGATGATGGGGAATCAGGGGCTGAAGAATAAAAAATGAGAGAACAGAAATAGAAGGAACATAAAGTTTGGTTTGGTTCATTAAAAAATCATAATATGTACCTTTCTAAATTGTTTAGATTTCTATGACCATATTTTAGACTGAGAATAATTACTAATTACCTACAGCTAGATTCAGAGGCAGGTCAATCTTATTTGTTCCTGTAAATACACGGGACAAGGGTGTTTACATGAAATTAAATTTACAGTGTTATATTTGAATCTATTAGAAGGGCCAGTTTTTTAAATCATATACCCCATCTTTTATAATTCAAGAACAATTTCAACTTAAAACAGATATATATCCTATTTGCAGAATGCCTATTCATTTTATCTCTACCAATAAACAGATGATAATAAGAAACATTCTACAAGGATGTCAGTAGTAATAATGGCAATAGGTAAGGAGTAACTCTTTAATTAAAGCAGATATGAAAACATTGGGATTTATGAGAAATATGTTAGAGATACAGAGTGGGATATCTCCAAACAGTTTTCCTTGCACATTTGAAATTTTATTTTATAAAATTCTATTTACATGCAACTTTTCAAGATACACCTGATATGCAAAGAAGTATCACTTGTTATAATTTTCAAGATTAACACCACCACCACTACCACCATGACCACCATCACAGTCAAAATTCCCTCCATTAAAAAATATTTTATTAACCAGAAGCTTAGAATAAGCAAGTTATATTATTATTTAAAAAGTGATTTTTTGTTGTTAAAAACTTTGTAAGGTCTTGTTAATTCTGCATATTAAAAAAATACTCTCAGCTCTGATGATATCTTCTCAGGGAAACTTTTTATTTATCTATTTATGTAGAAATTTTAATTGTGGTAAAATATACATAGCATAAAATCTACCATCTTAACTATTTTTATGTGTGTAGTTCTATGGCATTGCTGTGTTACCGATGCCACCATGCATCCACAGAACCCTTTCATCTTGTAAAATTGAAACTCTGTATCTATTAAACAATAACTCTCCATTGCCCCATTT
Organism: Homo sapiens; assembly: GCF_000001405.40. Classification (NCBI taxonomy): domain Eukaryota; kingdom Metazoa; phylum Chordata; class Mammalia; order Primates; family Hominidae; genus Homo; species Homo sapiens. The sequence continues at coordinate 83,737,543 of NC_000004.12, forward strand.
CCCTAGCCCCTGGCAACCATTATTCTACCTCCTGTCTCTATGAGTTCTTTTTATCTTTTTGACATCATTTCTCCTGTGTTGAGTTAAGTGCCTTCTCTTAGGACCCCTCATCACCTTGAGCACAGCTTGGTCTTTCAATCTTGATAGATTTATTCATTTATTCATGCATTTGTTTAGTCATTAAAAATGGATTCATTGTTTCCTTATTCTGGTTCAGGTGCTGTAAGTTTCTAGAAGTCTGGGCCCATAGTAACTCGTGCCCACCCAAGTGTCAGGCTTATAGTAACTGCCTCATATAGTATTATGTGGCAGAAATGTGCACATATTTGAATCTGGCATGTGTCATTTGTAAAAGTTTGGGAAGCAAATTTAAAATGTTTATTGGTTTGTAAATTTCCCTCCAACATTTCATCAAATGATAAACTGCTGGTACATGCTGGTAATGAAGGTAGGATATCTAAAGCAGCACATTTAATGTTTCCATTTGGTCTTTTGTGTGTATCATTCCTTTTAGTGTTCTATTAGTTTCTTTTATAGTTGGGTTTTTTATTTTTGGTCTTAGGACATATTACATACAAATAGTCCTTTAAGTTTTATTTAAATCACAAAAAAGATATACTAGAAAATGAATAATGAAGACGGAGGAATTTGTTTCTAAAACAAGTGAAGAACTGAGGTATAGTTTGAAAAATCCGGATACAAGTTTTAGATACTTTGACTTCTACTTCTGGCTAAGTTGGAGACTGAATTTATTTTCCTAACTGAAACAACTGGAATATTGTATAAAATATATGAAACCATAGTTCTCAAGACATTGGACATAGAGTCCCACTCTGTTGCCTAGGCTGGAGTGCAGTGATCCGATCTTGGCTCACTGCAGTCTTGACCTCCAAGGTTCAAGTGAACCTCCCACCTCAGCCTCCTGAGTAGCTGGGACCACAAGCACGCACTACCACACCTGGCTAGTTTTTTGTATTTTTTGTAGAGATGGGATTTCACCATGTTGCCCAGGCTGGCCTCAAACTCCTGAGGTCAAGCAGTCTGCTTGACTCGGCTTCCAAAGTGCTGAGATTACAGGAGTGAACCATTGTGCCCAGTTGACTGTTAAGAATTCTTACCAAAATACTAAAAACTTTCTTAATGTCACTTATAAATGTATAAAAAAATAGTAAAACTAACATCTAATTGGGTCACTGTAATCAGAAACGTTAAACACATTGAAAATTAATGTTTATTTCTTTGTAAAAAATTTACCAAGAGTAGTTTTAACAGTGCTTGCCTTCTTTTTATGTAACTTACTACATGAAATGAACATCTTTTCTATACCTTGGTAAATTGCCATACTTCTTCTAGTTCAGATTAACTTCTAATATTTTATCCATTTCTCCTTCAGTGTTTGAAATATCTTTAAGAGTTCCTTTGATGTGAAATTTTTGGTATCACTTCCCCTGGACATCTTTCTTTTTTTATGAAAATCACTTTACTCATTTGTCAATACGTTCACCTTCACTAAGCTCACTTTGCTGCATATCTAGAGTCCTTCAAACAGTGGCAATGTCAACATTTCCGCAGTCAGCTAGTTCTTTGCTAACTCTATTCATGTTGTTTGCATTTCCATCATTCCAACATTATTACTTTTGGTTTCTTTGTGGTACCTGCATTATTTTTTATTTATTATTATTATTATTTTTGCCAATTCCCTTTCTTGAGTATTCTTTTTTGTTTTTTTTGAGATGGATTTTTGCTCTATTGCCCAGGCTGGAGTGCGGTGGCACAATCTCAGCTCACTGCAACCTCTTCCTCCTGGGTTCAAGTGATTCTCCTGTCTCAGCCTCCCAAGTAGCTGGGGTTACAGGTGCATGCCTCCACACCTGACTAATCTTTGTGTTTTTAGTAGAGATGGGGAAGTATTCATTTTTATGCAACATTACATGAGTTTATCACTAGGAAACAAGGAGGCGTCACAACTACATGCTTTGCTGACTGTCATTTACTCATTAGTGGTCTGAGGAGCTAGTAGCAAAATTTGTATTTTATGCAGTTACTCATAGTTCATATACCATGATAGCTGAAATTTAAACCATGTTATTGGCGGACTGTTTTTACTAAAGAGTGGTAATTTTTTAGCTAAACAGTGGTAACTGAAATCTATTTATATTTGAACTGGGCAGCGTAAGGATTGCATGTATTTGAAAATAAAGATGAAATAAATATGCTTTCATATATTAAAAAAACTGAAAGGATTAATCATAAAAAGACCTGTACTACCAAAGCAAACCAAACCAAACAAAAGCCCAAACCATTGAAAGAAAGACTTTCAAGCAGAACATAATGATACAAGGTGGAAATTGAGATCTATATAAAAGGTCCAGAGCTGGTAACTGCATAGGTAAATATTTTTTTCTCTTATTATTTAAATTTCTTTAAATCACAAACAACTGTTTAAATTACAAATAATAACTATGTATTTTGGAGTTTAAAACCTATGTATAAAATTTTTGATAATAGCACAAAGGACAGGAGGGGAAAACTATATACTATTGTAAGTTTCTTTTATTCTATATTCTCTGATATAATATCACACGAAGGTAAACTATGATAAGCTAAAGATGTATACTACAAACTCTGAAGCAACCAATAAAATAAAACAGCAAAAACAAAGTTAACATTAAACAGAGAAGAGAGAATAGAATAACAAAAATTAGACAAATAATTCCAAAGAAAGCAGAAAAGAGGAAACAAAAAGGAGATGGGACAAATACAAAACAAATAGTAAGACTGCAGATTTAAACATCAGCATGTCAATCACCATAGTAAATGCAAATGGTCTAAACAATGTAATTAAAAGGAAGATTATCAGATTTGATATAAAAGAAAGACCTAACTGTATACTGCCTCCAGTCCCCCGACCTCAACTTTAAATGTAAAGGCACAAAAAGTAAAAGGATAGAAAAGACACACCATGTTAGCACTAATTAAAAACAAACAAACAAACTGAAATGGCCCTTGGTATCAAAGAAAATGGATTTTATAGCAAGGAGTTTTCCCAAGGATAAATAATATAATTTTATTTGTTAAAGGCATTACCTTTATATATATAATTTTTATCTCCTTTAAATACTATACTATACTATACTATACTATACTATACTATACTATAATATACTGCAATAATTTCATTTATTAAAGGTGTTACAACCAACCTGACCCAAGTGATATTTATAGGGAACTTTTCTCAACAACAGCAGGATACAAATTCTTTTTAAAAGCACAAGGAATATTTACCAACAAGATATTCTATGTCTAGACTACTAAATGAATTCTCTCTTCTTTCTTTAATGTTAACTATGTTTTTGTTGTCGTATTTTATTGGTTGTTTTAGAGTTTGTAGTGTACATCTTTAGCTTATCATAGTTTACCTTCATGTGATATTATACCACAGAACATAGAATAAAAGAAACTTAATAGTATATGTCTAGTTTTCCCCTCCTGGCCTCATGTACTCAACATGAGAACATAGCAATCTGAAATATTTGTGACCCAAATAACACTACTTCAACCTACATGAAAAAAACAAAACAAAAACAGAAAGAACTGTAAGAAAAAAATACAAATCCATAATTAGAGTGAGCGATTTCAACATTTCAATTATAGTCAGAGATTTTCTATCTCTTAATGGTTAATAGAACAAATGGAAAATCAGTTAGGTTATAGAAGACTTGAATAACGCTACCAACCAACCTGACCCAAGTGATATTTATAGGGAGCTTTTCCCAACAACAGCAGGATACACATTCTTTTTCAAAGCACAAGGAACATTTACCAAGATATTCTATGTCTGGACTACTAAATGAATCTCAATAAATTTAAGAGGCTTCAAGTCATGTAAAGTACCTTCTCTAACCATGATAGAAATAAATTAGAAATCAATAACAGAAAAATATCTGGAAAATTTCTAAGAATTTGGAAACAAAATAACACATTTCTAAATAACCCATATTTCAAAGAATAAATAAAGAAGGAAATTAGAAAATGCTTTGAACTGAATGAAAATAAAAACACAATATATCAAAATTTTTGAGATGCTGCTGAAGCAGTACTTAGAGGGAAACTGATAGCACTGTGAATAGCCACTGCACTCCAGTTTGGACAACATAGTGGGACCCCATCTCTAATTTTAAAAATAGCAAATTGAATGCTGTAATATGTAAAAATGATAATGCATCATGATCAAGTGGAGTTTGTCTCTGGAAAGCAAGGCGGGTATAACATTTGAAAATCAAGTGATGGAATTTAGTGAAATTTATCATATTAACAGACTAAGTAGATGCTCTCATGTGATCATCTCAAAAGATGCAGTAAAAGCATTAGATAAAATCCAAAATCCATTCTTACTTTTTATGAGTATATAGTACGTGTATATCATTATGGAGTATAGACAATATTTTGATGCAGGCATGCAATGTGTGATGATCACATCATGGAAAATGGGGTATCCAGTCCCTCAAGCATTTATCTTTTGTATTACAAACAATCTAATTATACTCTCTTAATTAATAATTTCGAGACAGGGTCTCTTTCTGTTGCCTAGGCTGCAGTGGCATGATCTCGGCTCACTGTCTTTTAGTTATTTTAAACTGTACAATTAAATTATTTTGACTATAGTCACTCTGTTGTGCTACCAAATGCTATGTATTATTCACTCTTTCTAACTTTTGTTTTGTGTCTATTAACCATCCTCATTTCCCTTACACCTCCCCATATCGTTCCCAGCCTCTGGTAACCATCCTTCTACTCTCTATCTCCATGTGTTAAATTATTTTGATTTTTAAATCCCACACATAAGTGAGAACATGCAGTTTGCCTTTCTGTGCCTGGCTTATTTCACTTAACATAATGACCTCCAGTTTCATTCATGATGTTGCAGATGACAGGATCTCATTTTTTTTTTATGGCTGAATAGTACTTCATTGTGTACAAGAACCACATTTTCTTTATCCACTCATCTGTTGATGGACACTTAGGTTGCTTCCAAATCTTGGCTATTGTGAACAGTGCTGCAATAAAAGTGGGAGCGCAGATATCTCTTTGATATGCTGATTTCCTTTCTTTTGGGTATATATCCAGCAGTGAGATTGCTGGATCATATTTTTAGTTTTCCTGAGGAACCTCCAAACTGTTCTCTATAGGGTTTGTACTAGTTTACATTCCTACCAACAGTGTACAATAGTTCCCTTTTCTCTACATCCTTTCCAGCAGTTCTTATTGCTGTCTTTTGGGTAAAAGCCATTGTAACCGGGTGAGATGATATCTCATTGTAGTTTTGATATGCATTTCTCTGATGATCAATGATGTTGAGCATCTTTTCAGATGTCTACTTGTCATTTGTATGTCTCCTTTTGAGAAATGTCTATTCAGATCTTTTGCCCATTTTAAATCAGATTATTAGATATTTTCCTGTAGAATTTTTGAGCTCCTTATAAATTCTGGTTATTAATCCTTTATCAAATAGGTAGTTTGCAATATTTTCTCCAATTCTGTGGTTTGTCTCTTCCTTTGTTGATTGTATCCTTTGCTTGCAGAAGCTTTTTAACTTGATGTAATCCCATTTCTGCATTTTTGCTTTGGTTATCTGCACTCGTGGGATATTATTCAAGAATTTTTCACCCAGACCTGTGTCCTAGAGAGTTTGCCCAATGTTTTCTTGTAGCAGTTTCATAGCTTGAGGTCTGACCACAATTGAATACTGGAAACCAACTAGAGGAATTTTGGAAACTATATGAACACGTTGAAATTAAACAATATGCTCCCGAATGACCAGTGGGTCAAAGAAGAAATTAAGAAGAAAATTGAAAAATTTCTTGAAACAAATGATAATGGAAACACAACATACCAAAACCTATGGGATACAGTGAAAGTAGTACTAAGAGAAATTTATAGCTATAAGTGCCTACATCAAAAAAGAAGAAAAACTTTAAATAAATAACTTAATGATTCATCTGAAGGAATTAGAAAAGCAAGAGCAAAGCGAATGCAAAATTAGTAGAAGAAAAGAAATAATAAAGATCAGAGCAGAAATAAATGAATTTGAAATGAAAAAATACAAAAGATCAATGAAACGAACAGTTGGTTTTTTTTGAAAAGATAAACAAAATTGACAAAGAAAAATGGAGAAGACCCAAATAAATAAAATCCGAGATGAAAAAGGAACATTACAACTGATACTGCAGAACTTCAGAAAATCATTATTGGCTATGAGCAACCATATAACCATAAATTGGAAAATCTAGAGGAAATAGATAGATACATACAACCTACCAAGATTGAGCCATGAAGAAATCCAAAACCTGAACAGACCAATAACAAATAATGAGATCAAAGCTGTAATAAAAGGTCTCCCACTAAGCAAAAGCCCAGGACCTGATGGACTCACTGTTGAATTCTACCAAACATTTAAAGAAGAATTAATACCAAACCTACTCAAACTATTCTAAAAAATAGAGGAGGAGAGGGAATACCTCCAAACTCATTCTATGAGGCCAGTATCACTCTGATAACGAAAGTAGACAAAGACACATGAAAAAAAGAAAACTACAGGCCGATATCTTTGATGAGTATTGATATAAATATCCTCAACAAAATACTTGCAAACTGAACTCAACAATATATTAAAAAGATCATTCATTATAACCAAGTAGGATTTATCCCAGGGATGCAAAGATAGTTCAACATACGCAAATCAATCAATGTGATCTATCATGTCAACCAAAGGAAGGACAAAAACCACATGATCATTTCATTTGATGCTGAAAAAGCATTTTATAAAATTCAACATCCATTCATGATAAAAACCCTCAAACAACTGGGTATAGCAGGAACATATCTCAACATAATACAAACCTTATATGATAGACCCACAGCTAGTATCATATTAAATGGGGAAAATCAGAAAGGCTTTCCTTTAAGATCTGGAACATGACAAGGATGCCCACCATCACCACTGTTATTCAATATAATACTGGAAATCCCAACTAGAACAATCAGACAAGAGAAAGAAATAAAGGGCATCCAAATTCGAGAGGAAGAAGTCAAATTACCCTTGTTTGCAAATGACATGATCTTATATTTGGAAAAACCTAAAGACTTAACCAAAAAACTATTAGAACTGATAAACAATTTCAGTAAAGTCACAGGCTACAAAATCAACCTATGAAAGTCAGTAGCATATCTATATGCCAAAAGTGACCATTCTGAAAAAAAGTAATACCATTTACAATAGTCGCAAATAAAATAAAATACCTAGACTTAAATAAGTTGAAAGATATATCTGTTTATAAATTGGAAGACTCAGTACTGTCAACAAATTAATTAAATTGTATAAATTTAAAAATTGATTCTAAAATCCATATGAAAATATAAAGGATATGGACTTGCCAAAACAATATCAAATAAGAACAAAGTTGGAGAATTTACCCTTTCTCACTTGAAGTCCTATTATATAATTATATTAATCAAGACAGTATGATATTAGTGTCAAGATAGGCATATGGATTAACAGAACATAATAGAGTCCAGAAATTGACCCACACATATATGGCAAATTTTTTCTAAATGGCAAAGTCAATTTCATGGAGGAAAGATAGCCTTTACAACGAATGTTGCTGGAACAATTGGATCTCCATGTACGAAACAATGGACTTGGATATATACCATGAACTAGGAAGAAATAAACTAAAAATGAATGACAGACAGTTGTAAAACCTAAAACTATAAATCTTATAGAAGAATAATGGAAGAAAATCATTGTGAGCATGATTTAGGCAAATAATCCATAAAAAACAACACCAGAACATGATCCATAAAAGAAAAAATGGATAAATTGGACTTAATCAAAATTAAGAACCTCTGCTCTTCATAAAATATTGTTAAGAGAATGAAAAGGCACTACAAACTAGGAGAAAGTATTTGCAAGTTGAATATCTGATAAATACTTATATTCAGAATATACAAAGAACTGTCAAAACTCTCATAATAGTAATAATAAACCCATTTAAAAAGTGGGTAATATATTTGAACAGACACTTCACCGAAAAAGACATGAATGGCAAATAAGAAAAGATGCTCAACATTATTAGTCATTAGGAGAATGCAAATTAAAACCCCAGTGAAATACCTCTACAGGCCTATTGAAATATCTAAACTTAAAGACTGACCATTTGAAATGTTGACAAGAAGGTGGAGAAACTCTTATTCCCTACTGGCAATATAAAGTGATACAACCATTTTGGGAAAGAGTCTGGCAATTTCTTAAAAACGTAAAGTTACCATATGACCCAGCCATTCTATTTTTAGGCATTTACCTAAGAGGAATGGAATGAATGTCCACACAAAAACTTGTACCAAGATTATGTCAGCTTTTTCTGTAGTAGCCTCAAACTGGAAATAACCCAAATGTCCATCAATGTGTGAATGGATAAAGAAATTGTGGAATATTTCTTATAATAAAATGAATGGAAGTGCAACAACATGGATGGAATTTCAAAGGTCTTAATGCTGAGTAAAAGAAGCCAGTAAAAAGGGTGTATATTATATGATAAAATTAGTAAAAGTCCTAGGAATATGTTCAGTATTTTGATTTGGTGATGGTTCCACAGGTATATATTTATGTCAAAACTTGACAAATTATGCATTTTAAATATGTATGGTTTATTATATGCCAATCATACCCCAATAAAATTGTTAAAAATTCTGCCATGTGTTCAAGAGCTCAGACTCTATAGGTAGTTAGACCTTAATATGATAATGTCTATTTTATGGCCACCATGCTTTTCACTAAGGTATCAATCCTCTTTATACTTCAGTTTCCACGTGTGCAAAAATCACCTCACAGAGTTGATGTGGGAAGGAAATGATACAATTCAGGAAACAGCAACAATAAAAGCCAACTAAACACACACTAAACATTACCATGGCTAAATAGCTAATACTATTATTAAGAAGAAATGAGTTCTTACTACTGTTATTTTGCTATTAATATAAGGGAAAGAAAAAGAACCAGAACAACTAGGTGGATTATTTAGAACCCATCATGAACCTGTAATGATGGTAATAAACTTGTCCTCTTAAAATCATTGGACTTTGTTCATGTATTACAAAAATTACTTTGTTTTTTCTATGAGGTGACCTACATCCAATACTAGAAATCAAAGTTTCTATAATCTTCCTTAGATAACATAATGATGCCCTGGTTTATTTCCATTTCAGTCCATTCTACAAATTGCTTTTGGTGTTCTCAGAAAGAAAAAGAAAGAAAGAAAGGGAGAAAGAAAGAGAAAGAAGAAAAGAAAGGAAACGGAAAAAAGAAGAAAAAAGAAAAAAAGATTGTTATACTCCCTTGCTCATTACCATTGGCTTTCCATTTCTTACAGAATTAAGCCCAGCCTTCTAAGATTGGCCTTGAGAGTGCTCCATAACATGTCCACTTTCTGCTTTCCCTCAGATAATACGGTGTAGAAATTAAGAGCATTAATCTTGGAATGGGAGCTCCTGGTTCCATTCTTCTTTCTGTGCCTCAGTTTCATTTCTGGAAAATAGGAATAATAATAATACCTACTTTGTAGGGCCATTGTGAGGCTTAAGTGACTTGTGTAAACAAGCTCTTAGAATAGTGCCTGGTTTATAATAAGAACTCAATGTTTGCATTATTTTACCTGTTATTTTATCTCCTGCTTCCCATGTGCTTTCTCATGCATTATTTACTTCCATCACATTACTTGTTTTTGTTATAGGCTGAATTGTATCCCTCCCAATTTTCCATATTGCAGTCCTGACCCCCAGCATCTCAAAATGTGACTGTAGTTGGAGATTAGGACTTAAAGGAGTTCAGTTAAAAATGAAATCTTTAGGGTGGTCCCTAATCCAATCTGACTGGTATCCTCATAAGAAGAGAAAATTTGGGCCAGTGAAGAGATACCAGGGCTGCAGAGGTGACACTGCTGAACCGGTGAGCCTGGAAGTTGGGACTGTCATCTCTGTGGGCCAGAGGACAGAATACAGAGCCAAAGAGGACTATTAAGGAGGCTTAAAGTCTAATGGAATTTGCCTTGCTAGGTTTCAGATTTCCTTGGGACTTATGACCCCTTCTTTCTGATTTTTTCATTTTGAAATGAGAATGTCTATGCTATGCCTGTCCCACTATTGTGTTTTGGAAGCAGATAACCTGTCTAGTTTCACAAGTGCACAGGTGGACAAAACATTTGCCTCAGGATGAATCAAACTTGAGTCTCACTCAAACTTGATTTAGATGATATTTAGATAAGATTTGGGACATAATAGTTGATGCTGGAATATGATAAGATTTTGGGGTTGTTGGGATGGAAGTGAGTGTATTTTGCATGTGAGAAGGACATGAATTCTGGAGGGCCAGAGGTCACAGCGTTATGGGCTGAGCTGTATTTCCCTAAAATTTATACATTGCAGTTCTAACTCTCAGTAACTCGGAATGTGGCTATATTTGAAGATAAGGTATTTACAGAGATAATTAAGTTAAAATGAAGTCTTTAGAGTAAGCCCCAATCCAATCTGACTGGTGTCTTCATAAGAAGAGGAAATTTGGACACACAAAGAGACACCAGAGGTGTTTGTGCACAGACTGAAGACCATGTGGGGACACAGTGAGAAGGTGGCCATCTGCAAACCAAGCAGAGAAGCCTCAGAATAAACTACACCTGCCAACACCTTGATCTTGGACTTCCAGCCTCCAGAACTGTGAGAAATAAATTTCTCTTATTTAAGCCACATGGTCTGTGATAGTTTGTTGTGGCAGCCCTAGTAAACTTATTCCCAAATAGACTCTGCATTCCGCATTCTCCACATCTTTACACACACTGTTCTATTTCCTTTGGATGTTCTTTCCTTCAAAGCTGCCATTCTGCAAAACTTAGTTCAAATCATAACTCCTCCATAAAATCTCTTCATGTTCCCTCAGTTGAAATTGCTTTCCCTTCTCTATTCTTTCATAAGCATGCTGTTTGGTTGTGAATTAAAGAATATTCACTTTTGACTTAGCTTTACCATAAGTTTATGAGCTCCTGAATGGTAGAATATGGTGTATGTTTAAAAATCTTCAGCCAGTCACTGTGCTTTGTAATAGTAGACTCTGAGTAAATATTGAGTTGAATTGTTGACTCAGGTTCTATGATGACAGTCTCATTTATGTTTTCTCTTCATTCTGACTTCCATAGAAAACTTAATATATTGTAGACTGTTAGCATTAATAGACATTGGCTAACATAAACCAGGCGCGTGGCTTGATTATCTTGTAGGAAAACCTGCACCTAGATAGTTGGCTGGGGCTTACAGAAATCACAGGACTTTGCTCAGGTACTTGTGAAAAGCTTTCCATGCATTCACTGACCTAATTCTCACAAGGTCTAAATGAGTTAGGCTATAGTATGGTGACTTACAGGTGACAAAGCAGAGACAAAATCAATAAATTGTGCAGGGCTACATACCTAAGATGTGGTAGAGACAGGAAAAGAGCTCAGAACTTTCAGATTTCAGAGTTCATGCCAGAAGGATGAACCTCTACAATTCTGAATTCAAGGGTTCAATCATTTCCCCACATGTGCTTCTCATAGCATTTTCCATGACTTTCTGCAGCCAGGAGCTTTGGATTTGGCTGCTGGGAGCATAAGAGATACCTCAGGGTCCCTTTTCATAATGGAGAAAATAAAAAGATGCTTACATTAAGGATGATTGGTGAGATTGAGGCCACATCCTCAAGTCCAGGGATTTCTAGCTGCCAATGTAACATTTGTTAGAATCAGACAGCAATATATCCTGTGAAGGCAATATTCTCTGGGAGATACTGCTGACCTGGTAATGCCTGTTCTAGAATCATGGCCTGGGGGAAGGACGTCTTGTCATTTCAGATATTTATATGCCAGTGCCCTGAAGGAATTGTTTTTATTAGCTAGTTTTAAAAACTAATGTTTATTTATAATAAAAACTCAAAATAGTTCAGAATGTAAGAAGGTGAAGGTGTTAAGTCCCTGCCCCACTCCCTCTAATTTTTTCAGAAAGGTTATATGCATTTATGAGCATTTAGGAGAATAAATTAGACTATTCTCTACATTTATTTGCTTTCTTCTTTTTAATGACCATGTGCATTTCTGTTGTGTACGGATGCAATAAACATCCTTATACACTCATCTTTGGGTGCTTGCGGTAGTATTTCCTAAAGTAGAAGTCTGGAGAGAGGGGCTCTTTACCTTGTGGCTTTATGAAGAAGGCAAAATAGCCTGTTTAGAATGACTAAACTATCTCTGCAATGAAAACTACAGATAATTAAATATATTTATGTATAACAATTTACAAAGAATATGCAGAGAGTGGTACCTGATGATGATCTACAGTCTTTTTTGCTACAGGACTGATGACAGCTGTTAGCGAGGCCATACTGGATTACTTTTTTCCAAGGCCTGGCCAACTTGTGGCAGAGAATGTGGTCCTCTGTGGGTCCCATGCATTCTTTCACTTCACTGCTATTTTAAGATGTCTGTTTCTGGCTGAGCACGATGGCTCATGCCCATAATTCCAGCATCCTTGGGAGGCCGAGGTGGGTGGACCACCTGAGGTCAGGAGTTCAAGGCCAGCCTGGCCAACATGGTGAAACCCTGTCTCTACTAAAAATAAAAAATTAGCTGGGCAAAGTGGCAGGTGCCCAGCTACTCGGGAGGCTGAAGCAAGAGAATCGCTTGAACCTAGGAGGCAGAGGTTGCAGTGAACTGAGATAGTGCCACTGCACTCCAGCCTGGGTGAAAAAAAAAAAAAAGTCTGCTTCTGGGCTGGGCATGGTGGCTAATGCTTGTATTCCCAGCACTGAGGGAGGCCAAGGTGGGTGGATCACTTGAGCCCAGGAGTTCAAGACCAGCCTGGGAAACATGGTGAGACTCTGTCTCTATTAAAGAAAAAAACAAAAATTAGCCAGGTGTGTCAGGGTTGAGGCTGGAGGGTCGCTTGATCCCAGAAGGTAGCCATATTCATGCCACTGTGCTCCAGACTGGGTGACAGAGCAAGACTCTGTCAAAAAAAAAAAAAAAAAAAAAGTCTGCTTCTGACATCAAGAAATTTTATAATAAATATTTTCTTATGCACATACTCAAAACATGGTCTTTTAATACTAAATAGTTACAAATTTATTTCTCCAGAAAGCTTTACTCCTCCCAAACTATAATCTGGACAGTGGTTTCCCCCTACTTTCCTTGTCAACCCCAGGAAAAGATGTCATATTTATCTCTCTCTCATCTGATCCTGGTGCTTCTGGGTTTTCTTTGGGAGTTTGTTCTCTCTGCCATTATGTTTTGCTGACAGCGGTGATGTTGGGAAGAGCATTTATTTAGCATTGCTTTTGACAGAGTCATTCTGTCTTTCAAGCTCAAGTTGAAAAATAAAACCCCATTGTGCTGCCATGACACTTCCTGTACAGTGCCAATAAAACATCCCTGCGTCTCATCTCATCTTATGTTAACTTATGGGCATTGCTGTTTGATCTTTTTCATTCAGTGTCCTGAGGGTGATAGCACACACAGCCTACTCACAGCCAAAGAAGTGCAGCAATGGGCCCTTGCTCTTGGAATTCACTGGTCTTACCGTCTTCCCCATCAGTCTGTTACAGTGCCAGCTAGGTGACAAGTCTTTTCAGGGCCTGGACCATGTTCTCCAGAAGGCTGTACATGCTCTGAATTAGTGCCCAATATTGTTACTGTTTCTCGCATAGCCAGAAGCAATGGGTCTAGGGATTAAGAGGAAATGGGAATGACATTACTCACCATTACCCCTAATGACCCACTGGCAAAATTTTTGCTTCTGGTTCTTACAACTTTATGCTCTGGTGGTCTGGCAGTCTTTGTCCCAGAGGGAAAACTACTCCCACCAGGAGACACAGCAAAGATTGCATGGAGCTGGAAGTTAAGACTGCCACCTGGCCACTCTGGGGTCCTCATGCCTCTGACTCAGCAGGCTGAGAGGAGAGTAAAGGTGTTGTCTGGGGTGATTGATGTGGACTGCTACTCCACAATGGAAGTAAGGAAGAGTATGTCGGGAATACAGGATGTCTCTCAGAGAGTCTCTTAGTATTGCCAGGCCTTGTGATTAAGATCAATGGGAAATTACAACAACCATATTTGGGCAGGACTAGGAATGACTCAGATCCTTCAGGAATGAAGGTTTGTGTCACCCTGCCAGGTAAAGAACCATAATTAGCTGAGGTGCTTGCTGAAGAGAAAGGGAATATAGATTGGGTAATAGAAGAAGGTGGTTATAAATACCAGCTACAACCACATGATTAGTAGTTACAGACATGCAGTCTGTAATTGCCATGAGTACTTTCTCTCTATTTTGTTAATAATATTTTTGTATGTATTCATATACATGTATGTGCATGAGTGTATATATATAATAAATATGTATGTATGTGTATATATACATATATAAATGTATATACAAAGAAAATATCTTTTTCTTCCTTCCTAATTCCTTTCTCATATAATGTAAAATGTATTGAGTTTATATGAGTATTTAAGTATTATTAATTTTATATCATAATATTTACATTGTGGGATATCAGAAGAGGAGTAAACATCATTTAAGGACTTTATTTCCTCTTCTGGAAAAGGGATTAGTGTATTTTTGGTTGTACACAGGATAATTGTATCATGCTAGGAGGAACTATAGCCTTGTTATTGTCTTTATTCGGAGATTAAGTGTGGTTTAAAGAGGTGAGTATGGTACCAAGTTGACAAGGGGTGGACTTCTGATAGTCAATTTTGGTTGTCAATTTGACTGAATTAAAGGATACCCAGATTGCTGGTAAAGCATTATTTATTCCTAATCATTGCATTATTTATTCTCAATGCTTCAGTCAGTACTGAGGCTGTCCCTCTTTTGTGAAAAGGAAACCCTGGTGGTTTGGCATTTGATTAGAATAATTGGGTTGCCCCAGGTATATCTGTGAGGGTGTTTCTGGAGGAGATTGGTATCTGAGTTGGTGGATTGGCAGGGGAAGATCTGCCCTCAATGTGCACCGGCACCATCCAATTGGCTGGGGGTCTGGATAGAACAAAAAGGTGAAGGAAGGGTGCATTCTTGCTGTCTCTCTTCTCTGGCCATTGGACATCAGAACTCCAGGTTCTCTGGCTTTTGGGTTCTGGGACTCACACCAGTGGCCCCCTGGGCTTTTGGGCTTTCTGCTTCAGACAGGGGTACACCATTGACTTCCTTGGTTCCGAGGCCTTTGGACCTGGACTGAGCCATGCTACCAGCTTCCTTGGCTCTTCAGCTTGCAGATGGCCTGTCACGGGACTTCTCAGCCTCCAGAATTGAGTGAGCCAATTCCCCTAATAACTCCCTGCTCATCTCTCTCTCTCTCTCTCTCTCTATCTCTCTCTCTCTCAATCTCTCTCTTTCTTTTTCAATCTCTCTCTCTCTGTCTTTCTCTCTCCTATTTGTTCTGTTTCTCTGGAGAACCCTGACTAAAACAGATTTTGGTGAATTGACTACAGAGATTTTATAGATGTTTGAGTCTTTATTGGATAGATAGTTGGAACAAAAATCTCATTTTATTATAAAGGAACAGCAACAACAACAACAACAAAACACACTACCAGAGATTGTGGTTATCCCCCAATGGCCGTTCTCCCTTTCTAGTAAAATACATATGCTAAAAGATATCTACCTGAGCACATGGCTACCTACCTAAAGGTCGTATCCCAGCCTTCTTTGTGGCTAGTTGTGACCAAGCAACTAAGTTCTAATGTAATAAGAGTAGCAGTGATGGGTGCAATATCCATACTGTGCCCTTAAAAGAAAGAAGTAAAATTTGCCCAAGGAAGTATTTCTGCCTCCTCCTGGCTGGAATGTGAGCATGAAGTCCTCAGGGGCTGTAGATAAAAGGAGCTGGGTCTCTGATTCTTGTGGCAATCGTATCAGCCCTGGATCTTCTAGCTGAACTGTTTTGTGAGAAAAAAAATATACTTCTGTTTTATTAAAGATACTGTTGTTTTCAATCCTTTTGTTATAATGGAAATACATACACACAGTACAAGTAAATAAATATATATACACACACACACGAAAACACACATACACAATCTTAATAAATTATTCAGATGAGAACAACAAACTTTTTGATGGGATGTCTTATATTAAAAATATGTCAATGTCATTGCAACTTGTTTTTTCCTCCCGTTTTTACAATTAACATTGTCTTTTGGCAACGTTGATGAAACTTCGCATTACTTAAACATGGAATGATGAATAGGGACAGTTAGACTAATAAGGCATAAGTCAATCAGGCTTTCTGCTGAGATCATAACCTACAGTTACAGCATATTTTGCAGCAGTAAGTTCTTAAGGGCTTGAAATAAACTTGAAATTTGTAAATGTTTCCAAGCTAAGTATAACTTTCATGTGATTTAGGTACTTAAATTTGTGCTTAAATTATGAATTTACCTAAAATTGAACATTCTACTAGTTTTTCATAAAATGTGTTCAACCAATCACCAACTTCTGAGATGTTACAAATGAAAAGGTTGATTACTTACAATTAATCTTTTATTCTCAGGGAAGTGGAAGAAGGTGTAGGCTGGGGAGGGGACTATTGAAGATGGGATGGGACTAATGAGCATTGGAGAAAGAGGAAGAGCAAATGGTCCAGAATATTCATTAATTCAATTATCAAACATTTATTTAGTGCCTGTATTAGTTCATGTATTATACTAGGTGCTGAGGGTTCAAAGACTAATAATGTTTAATTTCTGTCCTTAAAGTGCTTATAATATAGTTAAAGAGGTAAAAATGGAAACTGACTGTAAAACAAAATAAAGTCATTGATTCTTCATTTCATTAACTTTTATTAATTTCTAGAGGCAATTGTATGTTGGATCAGTCAGAGTATTCCACATTCCTGGACACAGTAATTTGTTCAGGGATGTGCGAATAACCGTGGCCAATTAGAGACTCTTGAGATTTGATGTACAGAAACTGAAAAAGAGAGGGTCTCTTTTTTTCTGAATCATTAGTTTCTATCACTTGCAACCAGAAGATTCCTGATATAACCTATGCATGAATTTTCTGGAAGGCATTAGGTACCTGATAATTTTAAAAAATAAATGAAAAAGTGGATAATTTATTTTTGTGTCATACATACCCCAGATGATGTCTGCCTTCACATTCATCTTTGTTTTTGTGCCTCCCACTCCCATACTTACTACCTTCCAAGTAAGATGCAGTATTTCTTTGCATTCTTCAAGATGAAAATGGACTCCATCAGGCATTGATGAGTGACGCTGATTTCCTTGAGGATATATAGAAGGGAGTGAGGGGTGAAAATACAGTGCACGACAATCAGCTTTGTACTGCAAACCCCCTCCTTGGTCTTCTCTTTCTAAGTCTCAGTGTGGCCCTTCGTGTTGGTCTTCCTGTTACCTCTTCACTTTTCCCATAGTCTGTACATTTCCCAGTTCTGGTCCCCAACCCCTGGATCTTTCTTACTCAGAGTAACATATCTATGCCCCAACTCATCCAAACTTACATGCCTTCACCCATCCCTCCATTCAACAGAAAAAAGATACCCCAGATATCTTTTGGAAATCTACCTTCCTTAGAAGATAGCAGAGAGAATATAAATCACAACATTTTTGAGTCATTATACAAACCGACCAAAGAATACAACATATCTGAGTCTAGATATGTTAAAATTAGATATGTAAAGGATTTAGGTAGGTGTGGGTTGGGGCAGCTTCCAGGAATAGAAGGATGTATTCCAGTCTGAGAATTTTCCTTTCATTGGATATATTTTATCAAGTTTGTGTTTCCATAAAAACTCCATGTAAATATGTATTTTTACTACAAGATATTTGACCTGATCGACAGTTTGCTGATAGATATTTGACCTCAGAGGTGGGCGAGTGGAAGGTCAAGAAGTCATCAAAGAGTATCTTTACCCTCCCAGATAAAGTTTGCAAATGAGAAAATGGGTAATCATTGCTATTCTACCATCTCTATGTTTCTCCCTTTTCTCCCATCCTTTTCTTTCAGTTCTAACTTTCTCAGGCACTAAGGTTTAGAAGGAAGTTCTTCATGGAGAACTGGGAATGCCAAGATGCACCAGGTCTTGGGTTGGATACACTGATTACTACTTTTAAAGTCAGGACTTTCTTTTCACCTGAAATAATGGTTTGACATACTCATGGATATATTTTAAGCCCTGGAACAAAAATAGGATGTAGATGTTTATAAATTTAGACTCACAGGACAACTATCCACAGTTTAGTTCTCGTGGAATTAAAACACATCATTCCGATTCTTTTGCATATCCAAAGGCAGTTTGTCCCATTTCATTTTCTTTTTTTTTTGTATTACTAGTGGTTTAAGTGTATCTCTGTAAGGCTTCTAAAGCTATCTAGAAGTTAGGCAGAGTATAAATAACCGGTCATTATATGTAGCATTCACTCTGTTTTGCTGCCATTACTAAACCATTCAAGCAATGTTGTTGCAATGTGTAATATTAGCAGAAGACTCCCTGGGGAAGCATATAAGTGGATGTTTAATATTCTGCTTGTTTCTCAGTTCATCTCTTCACAGCAGAGGTGTTAGAGCATGTTCAAAGTTCAGTTGAAAAAAAGATAAAATCTACAGTATCAGAACACAGCATAAACATGCTACTGTAATTCATAGAATTGCTTTTGCTTTAGCATTTTTGCTAAATTAGGAGATCATAAATTAGTTAAGTCAATCTGCTCTTGAAATTTTTATTCCTTTTTAGATATTTTCAAATGAACACACAAAATATTTCCCACAAGCCTATATATCAGAAGTAATTTCTCAGTGGCTCGGTCAAAGCAGTATAGATAAATTTAGAAGCCAAGTGAGTTTTTCACTGAAATACTCAGTTATAAACCTAGCTTTTGAGAAGAATTAGCATGTACTTCATTTGTTTTTTTCTCATAATATCTCATTGATGACTTGGTAGAATTCAAGTTTAGTCTTGAGATATGAATCTGATAAAAGTATAGTAAATCCTGGAACTACTGGCATTTTAAGAAAATGGGAAAACAGTGCATATGAATGAATATTCAACCAAGTGCTGTTGTGAAACCTGGCCCTAAAGATTTTCAGAGAAATATTAAACTGTCAAGGACCTGCTTAGATTTGTAAACTAATCACCTGGACACAGAACATGTTGCTATTGACTGCTGGGTTCTTTGAAACTTTAAAATAACTTTATCCTCTCGTTGCACTAATTAGTTGTAGCTGTCAGCTTCATGCAGAAATCCCTTTGAGAGTTCGCTTGGGGAGTTATATCATATATATATGTGGAACATGTATGTATGTGTGTGTGTGTGTATATATATAGATTATACATATGTATATTTATATACTTTGTTGTGTTGTGTTATAAATCAATCCAAAGCTTAATAGCTTAAAACCAAAGCCATTTCTTTAACTCAGGAGTCTATTGTTCAGCAATTTGGGTAGGGCTCAGATGGTTCTTCTGCTGATCCTAACTGGACACACTCATGCATCTGTAGTCAACTGCTGGTCGCTATGCTGCTCTGCTTCTGGGGTTGACTGGTGGTGGGTGGGGTGCCAGGGATGACTGGGTCACATGTCCCTCATTATCTTGCAGGCTAGTCTGGGCTCATTCACATGGTGACTCAGAGTTCTAAGGACAGCCAGAAAGAGGACAGGCCCTACCACACAAGTGCTTATCAAGTTTCTGCTTGGATCACATTTGCTAATGTCCCATTGCCCAAGGGGAGTCTGTTGGCTGAGCCCAGAGTCAGAATGGGAGGCACTCGTGGTTGTATGGCAGGGGTCCTAGATACAGGAAAGAGATGAACTTGTGACAGTTTTACAATCTATCACAGTAATACAGATGGCTTTGGGCAGCCAGAAGTAGCTGTGGATGATGTTTGTTAATAGCTGTAAGAGTCTTTGAGAAATCATGCCATCTTGTGTAGAAAGGCAGCATGGTGTTTGGAAATACTCTTGACCTTGGATTCCAAAGAACTGGCTTCTTGTTCTGGCACTGCTACTCTTTCATTGCGTGACAATGGAAAACTTTCTGAATTTCTCTGGGTCCCTAATTATTCAACTGTTAAATTGAGGTATCATTTCTAGGATTTTAAAATTTCAAATAAATGCCTTTGTTTGTGAGATACTGAAAGATTTAGAGAAGAATTAAAAAAAATCGTAAAACCATAGAGCTCATTGAGTCCAACATCTTGCTCTTAATGATGGGGAAAATGAGGCCCAGAGAGACTTACTCAAGGCCCTAGAAAAAGTTAGTTGTGGAGCTGGCCCTAGAAGTTAGGTCTCTCTGATTTCTAGCTCACCAACATTTTCTCTATCCCTGGGTGTTTTGTCAACAAGGTATCAGGAACATATTTATTTTCAAGTACAGTTAGCATTCCACACATAAAATTCATTTAACTTACTTGAAGTTTTATTCAAAGTTTTAGGTATCATTATAGGTAAACAACTTTGAGGTATATTTGTACGTGCATGGTAGTTAGCAATGAGATATAGCATTTGAGGCTGATCTTGATGGGGTTACTCATGCATCTGTGCTCAGCTTGATAAAGACCACCTTAAAACAAAACATTTTGTGATAAGTCCAAAAAGTGCTCACTGCATTTTCTGAAATTCACTCCTCCCCCATTCTGCCAGTTGCTGCTTCTGATCCCTGATGGGTCAGGCTCAGGAGGGGAGGGTGTGGGAAGTACATGGACAAGGGATAAAGAGCACATAGAGTGGTTACTCTAGAATCTGACACCAGTGAGCTCTTTATGCAGCAGATAGACAGTAACTGGCACTTGTTCTCATGGGACCCTTTGGTGAGTTCATTAGAGGTCCTGCACTGGGGACCTCTGACTGCAGCCTCTTGAACTTCTGTTGAGGTCAATTTACTCTGTGGGGTGGTTGTCTTTGATATAAAGCTCAGCCATCTCCCCGTAGAGTCCTTTCTCCTTACTCTGTTGCAATCTAATCTAGCCATAATCTTTCAGTTTTAGACTTACACTCTTGAGAGTCAGGCACCAGTGTCTCTGTCTGTCAAATTCCTGGGGTCACTTGCCAAGTTTTTGTTGCATCTCATTGGAGAGAAAGTGCCCATTATTCTCCCCCTTTGAAGTGGGAGAGAGACACCATGCTGCTCAGGAACAATATTTTCTCTTCAATATCCTCTCTCCCCAACATCTGCATTAAAATCCCCTCTCTCCAACATCCTTAACACCTATGTGAATTCTTTGTCTCCTCTTGTGTAGCTTGAAAGTGGTAACCATATGATGTTAGCATGGTTTCCAGTCTCTCAGCACATCCAACTTACGTAGTTTAGCCCCTTATTTTAGAATGTGGGCACCTAGCACCTGTTGAATTATTTTAGCCCTTAATTCTTGCTGAAAAAGAGTATATAAGAAGAGTGACTTTAGTTTCTTCATCTGAAAGACAAAGAGGTTAGACTTCTTGCTCTTTGGACATTGCTATGGACTAATTTGTGTCCCATGCCCCCCTCCAACTTAGATGTTTAAGTCCTAACCCTCAATGTCACTGTATTTGAATATAGTGCTTTTAGGAGGTAATTAACATTAAGTAAGATCAAAAGCACGGGGCCCTAATCTGATAGAGCTGGTATCCTTATGAGAAGAAGAAAACAGAGAGAGGATGTATGTGAGGACATAGTAAGAAGGTGGTCATTTGCAAGCCAGGGATAGAGCACTCACAAGAAACTGAACCCTACTGGACATTGATCTTGGACTTTCCAGCCTTCAGAACTATGAGAAAACGCATTTCTGTTGTTCAAGCCACGCAGTCTGGTGTTTTATTATGGCAGCCTGAGCAGACTGATACGGATGTCTTTACTTCTAAAACTCTTAAACCCCACCCCCCAAATTCTAAAACTGCTCATGTCCCGTGAGAGCTCACATATGTCCAAGAAAAAGCTTGCCTCACTCCACCAGTGACATCTAGACTTAAGGAAGCTTCTTCTTGCCCTTTGAGGCCATGGGTCTGCCTTTACCCATCCTCTCCAAGCTGAAATCTTAGCCACGGCACTCACACTGTTAATGTTATCTCAGCAACTGAACAAGCTCCATTCCCTCAACTTCTCATTTTCTCAGATTTTTAGGAGTTGGCTATCTCATGTACTGATTTCCTCATCCATGACATTAATAGTTTAGCAATTTCCTGTAAACTATGGTTCGATCATACTGAAATATATTAACTGCGATGAGCGATGAAATTGCCAGTGCTGTTATTGCGTGAGCCATGCTTTAGAAACAGTGACAACCCTTGAGAGATTACATTCAGGGCTTGAAATTTGTGATTTCTTCTGAACCCAGAGAAATGGCATTTATTTGGAAGGAGGAAGTGGAGGGCCAAGACCAGTTGCTTTAATATCAACTTAGCTGTGTATTAAAGCTATTTTTCTCTTAGAATCAGAATCATGCTTGTAGCATCCACAGTAACAGAGTTTGGCAATAAGGAAAATAGGAAACCAAACTTATTTGGGTTCAAATGATGTCTCTTCTTTCAACTCCTAAAACATTTTTGATTGATACCAACATTTGGCACTTAAATTTTAAGCTTCTAGAACACAGGGAGTGCATTTTATCATCTACGTATCTCTGAAAGTCCCTAACTGAATCCCTAGAAGGAAAGTAATCTAGATAAAATTCTGACCACTGTGCCTGTTTGGTAAGTACATAGTAAACACTAGTTATTGTTATCAGTCCAAAGTAGTTGCTCACTAGTTGTTAATAGACTGATTTCTCTTTTGCAACTATTCTCTGCTTCATTCATTCTATGGAAAGTTACGCAAACCTATAAAACCTTATTCTATTTTATATTAGGGTTAGAGATAGAAAAATCATGGGGGAAGTATGATTGTTCTTTGATCTATATAATCAATTAACAGTCAGTGATCTTTTAGTGTGTTTTGTATATATATGTTTGTGCACACTAAAGTTTAATCACATAGAAGGACAAGTAGAGGTTGCTTTGTTTGAAATTACTCTCTTAAATGATTCCAAGTAATGCTTGAATCCTGTTTAAAAAAACTGCCAAGTCTTCTTGCATCAAAGTCCCAATTTGCATATTACTTTACATATTGAGTCCCAAAGGCTTCAATTCAAAGGATGGAAAATAAAATTAAACAAATCAATTAGTGTATCTTACTGCAATTGTATTCAAACCCAATAGTAAGGGCATTACATACAAATTACATAACAGATTTAGAAAGCAATTCAATTTAATCACATCTTAGATCAGGAGAGGCAGGAACCCAGCTCAAGAGCACAAGAGAAATGCCAGTTAGCCCTTATGCAGGGGGCGGTGGTGGGAGGGCAGTTCCCATCTATCCTGGTTGGAACAGCCCCTGACCTCACCAGAACCAGCCCCGCACTGCAGTGCTGACCCCAGGCTGGGATTTCCAGGAATCCTTTTCTTTAATAAGAGGTGATTCTATTTGGCCTGTTGCTTTTTGGCCATTTGATTTCTGGTAATGTTAGAATTTTAAACTTGGTGCCGAATAGCCACTAATTTTGTACAGTATCCTTGTGCCTAGAACAAATATATATATATATGGAACATATTTTAAACGATGAGCTGTTCTGTGCATCGCTTAACCCCTCCAGGCAGTCTTTAAAGTTCCTTCCACCTTATTCTCTGGAGGTCTTTCCCAGCGTGTGCATCTAAAACTGTGCTGTTCAATTAGTCATATGTGACTGGTGTGACTAAATAATTAAATGCTTAATTTCATTTTATTTAAATTAAAATTTAAAAATTGATCCTGGATTCAATTACTGGAAGACTTTTGGGTGTATCTTGAACAATCTTTGATATATGAATCTACTTTTTGACTCCACATTTTATGTAATCTAAATATTGATCAAGTATTTAACATCTAAATCGAGATGTGTTGTAAGTGTAAAATACACACCAGATTTTTTTAGTATAAAAGTGATGTAAAATATCTCATTAATGATTTTTATGTTGATTACATGTTTAAAATGAAATATTTTAGACACAAATTATATTATTCAAACTGGTTCTATCTATTTCTTCTTACCTTTCGAATGTGGCTATTAGAACATTTGAAATGACGTCTGTGCCTCATTTTGTATTGCTTTTGGACAGTGCTGGGTTAGAGAGAATGAAGCCAGAAAACAAAAGTGCTAAATATTGATTTTTAAATTCAAATACCATTAGTAGGACAATAATAAGGTAGGGCATAGAATACATGCTTTATTTTGTTTATCCTACCCTCAAACAAGATCAAGATTTCTCAGCTGGAGAGGGTAAGAAGGAAGGTACCAGATGAAAAGGTGCAGGGTGCGCACATAAAGACCCCCCTCTGGCTTCCATGGGGTCACTGTCTTGTGAGCTGTCCTCATGGCCCAGCAGTGCAGATAAACATTAGCATGGCCAGCATCTGCAGCAGGCTGAGCTGTGCCCCAGGACATTGCTCAGCCTCACCTAGTGCACTCTGTGGCCCACCCTCTACTGCCCACTTTCTGCCCTCCATTAATGGGTATCTATAAATCGTCAGGATGGAGCACTGGGTCCTGGACTCCTGGCAAGGTGTGATAATGTGGAAAAGAAAGACACTGCCCTTTGCTAAGAGTGAACAAACCAGAGCAGCTCAAGATCTACCAAGATCTGGGCAGAAGTTGGAGACCACCTTTCATCCCTGCTATCTAACCTGTTTCATCCTTTACGGGCGTGTGTGGTCTTTCGAGATTTCAAAATGGCTGTATGTTGTGTTTCTGTTTCTTACACTTGTTTACTGAGTATCAAGCAATTTTTACTTTGTCGGTCATGATTCACACTTTGTTTTCTTCCTTGAGACCACCTCCCAGTGCAGGTTACATGTCATTTCTATGTGTTTGCACAGTGTAGCAGATTGTGTTGCTCAGAAATGGCCACAGCAGTGGCCACATTCTCTTTAGAATTTTGCTGCTTTTATCAAGATATGGAGTCTATTTCCTGCTCCTTGAGGCAGAAATGGAATGGGACTTTGAAACTGTCTTGGTTAACAGAATGGAGGGGGAGTGACGTATGTGGCTCCAAAGCTAGATTCCAGAAGATTGCACAGCTTCCACCTGGTGCTCACTTGTCCTCCCTCTCTCTCTCAGGGTGTCCATCTTTGGAACTTGGCCACTATGCTCTAAGAAAACTCAAAGCAATTTATGTTGAAGACCACATGGAGATGTCCATGTGGAGATGTTCTGAGGCCCCTAGATGACAGCCAGCATCAACTGCCAGTTGCATCCGTGAACAAGGGAGTCTTCAGAGTATTTTAGGCCCCAGCCTTCAAGTTTTCTAGTTGAGGTCCTAGACATCATGGAGCAGACACAAGATGTCTTTCGGTTCCTGATCCACACATAGTAAACGATGGCTTTCCACTACTGAGATTTAGGTAATTTCTTATGTGGCCATAATAGGTGAAACATACTGCATCCTGTGCTTGCCCGTATTATTTCACCCACAAGACCACACCCATTGTAATTGGTTGCTTTTCTCTCCCTCATAGACTCTAAGTTCCTTTTGGACAGATACCAGGCCACTCATCAATCCATCAGCTAATGAGTCCTCTTTAAATTGCCTCATACAGGAGGGCATTAGCTAAAAATGTTAGATTTAAAGTGAGGAGAATTTGGCCTTCACCAAAGAGGGACAGAGTCTTTACCCTTGGCTTCTGGGAGAGTATCAATGTCATATCTGATAGGAATATCTTTGTTTAGAGTTGTGGCCTGCCACACTGGATCTTAGAGTGGGTTGGGCTACACCTTATAGTCTTAGAGTAGGTACTGGCCATTTCGGAAAGACCAACCATATGACTTAGGGTGGAAGCTTTGGGTCACTTGCATCAGTTGATCTGGAGGCTGGGTTTAATCATGTGGACCATCAATCAATCAATCAATCATGCCTATGTAATGAAACCCCCCAAAAAACTTTGAGCACCAAAGCTCAGGCCAACACCCCTGATTGGTAATACTCTGTGAGTATTGTTAAACATCAGTGCTTAGAGGGTAATACATCTAGAGGACAATGAAAACTTTGAGTTTGAAACTCTCCCAGGCTCTGCCCTATGTGTCTCTTCCTTTGGCTGATTTTAATTTGTATCCTTCCCCTGTCATAAAAATAATCATAAGCATAATAGCATTTAGTGAATTCT
The DNA here is from genome assembly GCF_000001405.40 of Homo sapiens. Lineage (NCBI taxonomy): Eukaryota > Metazoa > Chordata > Mammalia > Primates > Hominidae > Homo > Homo sapiens. The sequence continues at coordinate 83,763,782 of NC_000004.12, forward strand.
GTAAGCCCTTCCAGCAAATTATCAAAACTGAGGGTGGTTTTGAAAACCCCTGAACTTGCAGTTGGTGTCAGACGTGAGGGTGGTTTTGTGAAAGATACCCTCAAACCCCTTAGCTTGCCTAACTCCAGGTGAAGGTCATTTGTCAAAACCCTGTTGTACAGAAAAATAAATGGGTAAATCTTGTAAACAGGTGAGCAAGACAGGACCCCCACCCTGGATAAGAACCTATATCTCAACATGATATTCCAGACTCCAAACTCCTACTTCATGTATGTCATGCACATTCAATTGGGGGCATTCCCACTTCATAGTAGCCTCTGTGAGAAGGAGCGGACTCAAGGACCGCTTCTCCCTTCAGTTGCGCAGAACACTGCTGCCTGGCTGCTCATCAGCAAATGGGTGGGAGGACCGTGCTGTTCTCCGTTCCATCTGGTGGATCCTACCCCTTGAGCCAGGAACCAGAGCTAGAAGTGCTATTTTTGATTTTTCCCCTCAAAAATTTCTTCGTAAGCTCTTAGGTAAAAGGCATTGGTCCTTATTAGTTTCAAGTAAAAATTGTCAATAATAAGGAAACTAATTATGAAACTAAATTAGAATGTTTAAAATTCAAATACAACAGATCAAGAGAAGCAAGCAAATAATGGTGCTTAGCTATGTTCAAGTATTTGAGATTGTGAGAAAAATGATATAGAAACTGGGTGTTTTCTAGGACAAACCTATTTGACATTCCTTAATAACAGTTAATGAGAGATATCTTTGAATTTTTTAAAATATAGTGTGTGTGTGTGTGAACACACATGCTGGTGTGTGTGTGTGTGTGTGTGTGTGTGTGCTGTCATTACATGTTAAAAATAATTTCTAGAATATATATAATATAAATACTAATTAAGTAAATATGTTAATTTTCTTTTAAAATGACAAATGTAGTCAGTAGAAAGCCATCTTACCTCATGATCCTTTGAGTAAGGTGTGGGACTTTTGCCCGTACCCAATCAGAGGAAATTAGGTTTAACAGAATTCACAAAAAGAAAGAAAAATCACAAAGGGGTGTGTGTACCAGTTGTTGAATGTAAAGTAAGATTTTTGATGTTCATATTTTTAGGTGGATCTGCCAAGGAAAAAAAGAAGGCTCCCCTTCTCAATGAAGGTAGTAGAATAGTGTATCCAAAGAATCTGCTTCTTTAGATAATGATTCGGATTTCTGACAAAGACTTTAGTAAAGTTACATTTCCTGCTTAAGCCTGTATTCATGTCTTGATCAAATATTGTGTTAGGTGTGTCACTTTGTATTTGCAAAATTAAGTAAATTGGAGTAGGTCACTAAAGTAATTATAGCTCAAGAACATGAATATAATTTGTTTTTGTCATTAGTTAAAAATGAATGAGGTCACTTCTGTATTGATATTTTGATTGCATTTGGTATCTGAGTATTTATAACAATGACAACAAGACATTTAAGAGAGGTGAGGAGAGGTAGAAGGAGTCAAGGTAGAGGACCTTGCTATGTTTTGCCGATCTTTGCATGAAGTCCTCCTGGGAGGAAGCTCTCTAACCCTATGTATTGAGAGTGTGTTGGAGAATTCCTTGGGTACATATGGGACTGCTCGTCTTAGAGAAATTGTACCACATAATCCTTTTGCTGTGAAAAATATCAGAGAAGCAATAGCTGGTACATACTCCTTTGTAATTTCTACTGAAATACTTTTGTTATTTTAAAAGAAAATTTAGCTAGTTAAGATTCATACTCTTATGTTTATCCCTGAAATTAATTTTTAATATACAGTAATAGCACACACACACACACACACACACACACACACACCATGACAGGCAGGCCCACACCACGAGGAAAAGGTCCCAATAGATAGTACAGTATCATACATTGTGCATTTATTTTAGGGATTTTTAAAATTAAATCATTTATTTTTCTAACAATTATTTTTTAAAAAACATAACTGTAATTGTTTATCTCTGACCACACGGTGGCTTACATCTTTTTTCCACTGGAGTGACAAGTAAGAAAAAGAGTAAGAAATATTTTCCCTGACATTAAATACACACACACACACGCAGGCGCACACACACACACACACAAACACACACACAGACCTGTAAATTCATTTTGTGATGTTAGTTGCCTTCAAAGCACCATACTTTATGTCTCAGGATCAGTCTTTCAAGACCATCTGTCTGTCAGTAATGTCAAGTTTCACATCTAGCCTGCAGTATGAGCCTGGTGCCACCTTAGAGCTAGACTTGACAGCTTTGTCCAAAACCGCTATTTTGAGCATTTACAACAGTAAAAGAAATCTTTAACTCCCTTCTTGATAGGCTGTTGTAAATTTGTTCAGAGGCTTACTAGAAATTTAAGATTTTGAATTAAATGTAGCAGTGGAGGAAATCAAACCTTTCTGTCAGAAGCCTAAATGCTTTGTTGAAGACTAGTAAATGAACTGGGAAATAAGAGATTATTGATATATTAATAATTATTGGTGTATTGATGTAATAGTGCCATATTTTGTTTTGTGACATCTTTGTTCCCATTGCCATTTAGCCTCAAAACTTAGAAAAACAAAGTGCTGCCAACCCAAGTTACTATTTTTAATTTGTCTGATGAAAAGGGTAGCAATCAAACAACTACTTTGTTAGAGAGATGTGTATTAAAACATTTGGTTTTCATTTATGAATAATTTTTGCATGTGGTTCAAACTTTAGGCCTGAAATAGGAGCCACCTGAATGTATGAATGGCAGTATGGCCTCTACTGAAGGAGAATAATAGAAACTTGTGTAACTTCAGCAAATCCCCCATGAAATATCATTAGTGTCCCAAGCACCTTGCCAAAAATGATACATACTATATTTCCACATAGATCTTTCTACCGAAAATCATGCTATTTTCAGGGTAAGAAGAAAGAGTGGAAAAGCAGGAAATTTGGATGGAGGTGCTTGGAAAGATAAAAGAGATGTATGAAAGTAGCTCATCAAAGTCCACTTTTAGCAGCCACCTGTTGATAGTGGAGGGAAGATGAATTACCAGTTTAGGTCCATGACAGCTTTTCTGAAATGAGAAAAAAGGGCCCCAGTAAATGCATGCAGCCCGTTCCCATCATCCCTTTAATAACCTGTAATATTGTAGCAGGATATTTTTGTCACACCGAATCTGATTGATGCTCTTGGCTATAAGACATTACAAGTGTAGAGTAAATTGACCGAACACCTAAACATACAAATTATTAAAAGGAGGGGGAGCAGCCATTGGCCTCCTGGGGAAAGCAGGCAGGCTTTAGTTAAGATGATCCTATTTCCAAGTGCAATTTATAGTCTATTGACTTGTGGCAGTGTCTTTTTAGATGTAAGGAAACTGTCATACATTGCAAATGAGAAGCTGTTTTGACACTAGAATCTCAGCGAGTGCCAGGGAGAAATGATATCAGCTGCCTGGTCTGCTAAGGTTAAATGAAGTTGCATTGTTGCCTACAGACAGGCATTCATTTCCTTTTCTTTTCTGGGCCATCCCTGTGTACAATTATTCTGATTAGGATGAGTAACAATGTGCTTCTGACTCCCATTGTATTGACAGTGTGCAGAATTTTCCACTCAAGTGGCGCCAGTCATTACTTAGCCTCTCAGATATTGTGACAGGGAAGATCCATGCCTGCCAGTCAAGTATATCAATGACAAAGAGGGCTTAGACCCTGGCCACATACCTCTAAATTAAAGTAGTCAAAGTCATCTCCACTGGAAGATTATGAACCTCTTTTTAGGTGTGATTTTGATAGCCCTGTATGAAAATTTCTGGGTTGGATTTGCTCACTCTTTCTCCCAATAGCCCTCTTTTTTGGATTATTTTCAGATTTCATTTTAGCATTATTTTACAAGATATTTCATTTATTCATCCAATAAGCACTTACTGTTGACTGTTTACTGTTTTAGGCTAAGAGGATTGAGCAGTGAAAATGACAATACCCCTTCTTACTTGGAGGTGGGCGATTTTAGTTTGGGGTGTCTGGAAAGGTCTCTCAGAAGAGGAGACATTTGAAAAAATCTTAGTATTGAATATGTATGTAAGATAGAACCCACATAGGTGGACAGTGTGAAGGTTCAAAAATAAGTGAAACATGGTCCCTTGTCCTCAAGGTACTTCCAGTTCAGTACTAAAGATAAAATATCCATGTAAATCAATTCTTCATTCAGACAGATGTGCTAAGCTGGAATCACAGAGGTTCAAACAAAATCCTATGGGAATTTTTCCTGCTCTGTTCTTCATCCAAATTCCCAACTCTTCTTTTATCCACTTTTTGGGAACAAATCTTGAAGATAACTCTATCACAGTAACTCTTTAAAACATTTGTTTGCTGTATCATAGTAACAGCTGTAGTAGATGCATTACGAGTCATTATCCCAGCTCTTTGAATATAGTAAATATCACAGAATTATTTGGCATCCTGAAGACCATCACCTTTGTCTGACTTGCTTCTCTGCTTTCCTCCTTGTGTGTAAACAGAAAGCAGTGAAATGGACATACAGGACTAGCGATGTCTGGGTAGTTTGGGTAGTTCATGTTTATGGAATGCTAAAGGACAGGTTTAAGGTTAATCTGGAGGCGTAGGATCCCATAGCAATACCTGGATTTGCGCCATCAGGCACTTCTTGCTTCGGAAAAGACACTTTTTTCATCATTCACTTTTTGTTTCTCTCCACAGAGCTTTTCATCCCATACCTTACAAGAATTCAGAATTTTCTTCCAGTTACTTATATTTCAAGCATCCATAATGTAATTACTTTGCATATCTATATGTAGGCATGTGCATTTATAGCTATTAAAATAAAAGTATTCTTTAAGAAAACACAAATGCAAATTCATAAGACAAGATAATTGAAAGGATGATTGAGTTATAGATATATTTCTTGCTTTCCAACATATTCAAATCACAGTTCCCTTAAATAGTCTTTTAAATTACATATGGTTTACATTTATATTTAAAATTGTTACTTATAATTATATATTCAATAATTTTATCTTATAACTATATACTATATATTACTGTGCGATACTGTATATTAATATATATGATTTTCCTACCTACTTTTGATCAGGTTTATAGTAAAATAAAGTAACTTCATTATATACTTTGGAAAATGATGCTAGAGTAATAACCAACGTGTTGGCATTTGAAGCCAGTGATGTACAGCTTATAAGTATCTATTAGGAGATAGTTTGTTTTTTAAAAAATGTCTTTAAGATTAGACTTAGAGGTGGCAGCCCTCATCTATTCAGCTGGGCTACACCACAAATGAAACTCTAGGGAATGGAACCTATTTTAGATTCGGTTGCAGGAAACATTTTTTTTTTTTTCCCGAGATGTGTCAAATTACGTGCGGAAGTTTCTAGCTTAATCTTTCAAAAGAGAGTGTGCCTCCTCCCCACCCCCAATCACATCACCTCTTACCTTAATTTACTAAAGATAACTTACTCTCTATCAACCACCTATATGTCTTGTGAGTCATATTGATCTCAGACATGTGATGCAGTCCTTGGCTAAGATAAAACTGCTTTAATGGTATCCTTCCCCCTTCTGTGTATTTCTAAAGATACTTAAGCATGCAGAGGACACCACAGGCCCCTTTCCCCATCAGGAAAGCGTGTCTAGGCAGCTTACAATAAAGGACAAGTCTTCCCACAGCCTCATCAATACCTTGATAGCTCCGGGCTAATGGAATCTTGTGACTTTCGGTTCTCATTGATAAGAGGTCCTGATGTAGACATTGATGAGTGGGACATTCTCTGTTCGGATACACATCTTACAGCTTGCTCCATAGAACATATTTTCAGGAGGAGGTCAAAACTACCACATTTCTGGCTGTAGCTCTTTCTTTAAGTTGGAGAGAAAATAATTTATTTTGTTTTGTGATCATATGCAGTTTTTTCCCTCATTCTCATTCTGCTATAAAATTAGAGGGAGATTTCCCCAAACCTAGAAAAAAATGTTATTCTTAAGTGGAAAATGTTGACATTTGCTCCATATCCATTTCTTTAAAGATTTAAGTAGCTTAGATTTTCTTTTAATTCTAGTGGCTAACAT